>NC_000006.12:116888971-117192002 GCF_000001405.40 Homo sapiens | reverse complement strand
AAATTATTTATGTTTGTCCTATTTTATTTAAAGTCTATTTATTATAATACCTTTCACCTTTGGTTATTGATTCATTCTGTTTTCTTCAGACACTTGTTGCTTCTTCATTTTGTACCCAAATTTGTATTTGAAAATTCTTGTTTATATGGACAGGAAGCCTAGTTCTGTGTAAAACAGATTATTGGGTGCAGCTAGATGTGGTGTCAGGTGTACATATACTCCTTGAGTGAGGGCAGCCTGTTCTGGTGAAACTGCTGGTTGGGGTGTATCCTACTTGTCTGGGCTAAACTCTCAAGCTTACTTTTATTTGAACTTTCTACAATAGGTCTGTATTATTATTATGATTAATTTTATGTGTCAACTTGACTGGGCTACATACAGGATGCCCACATAGCTGGCAAAACATTTCTGGGTGTGTCTATTAGGGTGTTTCTGGAAGAGATTAGCATTTGAATCAGTAGATTCAGTAAAGAAAGGATGAATACTGTCTCTCTCTTCCTGAGCTGATATATCCGTCTTCTGCCCTTGGGCAGCAGAGCTCCTGGTTCTTGGGCTTCCAGACTATGACTGAATTATACCGCTGGTTCTCCAGCTTGCAGATGACATATCCTAGGACTTCTTGGTTTCCATAATCGTGTGAGCCAATTCTCATAATAAATCTCTTTTATACATATCTGTTTATATCCTATTGGTTCTGTTTCTCTGGAGAACGCTAATTAATACAGTAATTTTGTGACAGTAAAAGCAATAAAAAATAAGTTTTAGTGCGTTAAAAATATGTAAAAAATGCAATGTCAGTGTTTTATGCAGTAACTGACTTCTCACTGTCTGAATGTGGCCAACACATCTTTAAGTTACTTCCAAAGAATGGTTGGAGTGGGATTACCTCTTATGGAATGTTGTGACGATTGAGAATGTTTATCTTCTAACAAAATCCTTTAGTGGGAGATATACATATATATTTCCCTAAGTCTCTGACATACGATTTTTCAACTTCTGATTTTTCAGTTTTACTATGATGCAAAAGCAATATGTGTTCAGTAGAAACTGTACTCCAAATTTTAAATTTTGATCTTTTTCTGGGCCAGAGACATGTTATACAATGCTTTTGCAAAGTCGAGCAGGGGCAGTGAGCTGCACTTCCCAGCTAGCAGTGCTAATGTAAGTGTCTGAGCATGTATAAGGGCTAGGCCAAGCTATAGTGTTCTGTTTATTATATGCATTTTCAAGTTAGGATATTTTGAACTTATAATGAGTCTGTTGGGTTATAACCTTATCTAAGGTGAGAAGCATCTGTTTGTGGAGAGACGGAGAGGGAGAAAGAAAGAGAGAGAGAACATTTACATATACCAGAAAAAAAGAAGGAAGGTTTGTAAGAAGCTGTTAATATTGCTATTCCTTACTATTCTTTGATGCTATTGATCCAGGGCAAATTCTTGCTATTAATAACTAAAATTTTACTTATCAAGGCAGGAACTAAATCCACTGTGCTTTTTGAATAAGTACCTCTCTCACAGGTCAAACCAATGAAGAATTCTTAATAGTAAGACTCTCAGAGATTATTCTGAAAGCATGACTTTGGGAGAAAGGTGATGAGACTAAGACAGGCATTGTTTTGCTTGTCCTTACAAAAAGTCACTAATAGATGCATAATCATTTCTTTGGCATATGTGTGATAGCAGTTTTAAACAGTGACAGTCAGGAACAAATAGAAACTCCCAACCATTGTAAACATAAGCTTTCTTTGATGCCACTCATTCTGGCTAATCCAAAGAAGATCTGAAATAGATCACTGTTGATGTGCTTAACTGATAACTACTACAGCAGAGGTGAGGCTAGACTGAAATATTGTTCTTAGCAAAAACAAACATAACCAATTAAAAATGTTGTCTGAAAGTAACTTGGATTCTATATGAATAATTTTTATTATTCTCTGCACTCGATTGATTCATTCATTTATTCATTTAACCACAATCCACTCAACTGACCACCCGATATTAAATACTCATAAAGAGCTGTATTAGTCCATTGTCACATTGCTATAAAGACATATCCGAGACTGGGTAATTTATGGAGAAAAAGGTTTAATTGACTCACAGTTCCACAGGCTGTTCAGGAGGCCTCAGGAAACTTACAAACATGGTGGAAGGTGAAGGGGAAACGGGCACAATCTTCGCATGGTGGAACAAGAGACAGAGTGCGAAGGGGAAGGTGCCACACACTTTTAAACAACCAGGTCTTGTGAGAACTCTGTCATGAGACAGCACTAAGGGGATGGTGCTATACCACTAGAAACCACCCCCATGGTCCAGTCACCTCCCAATAGGCCCCTCCTTCAGCAATGAAGATCATAATTCAACATGAGATTTGAGTGAGGACACAAAGCCAAACCATATCAACAACATAATTCTATACTTGTGTGACAGTTGTTACAATGCCAGTCATTATGAATTTCCTAAGTAAAAAAAAAAAAAAAACCAAAAACAAAAAAACTATGAGAATTTAAAGTTTTATTTCAGCATGTCTTAAAATGAGATACCTAACTACTTTCACAGAACTAAAAGTAATGATAAGTGAAACAGAGTTAAACAGATTTTTTTACTCTAGGACTTTTTGGAGTGTTTACTAAGCTGATGTTCACTGTTAATATCCCAGTGGAGATAGCATACTGAATTTCTTAAAGTTATTTTACCAAGATATACTTTTTCCTCCCCCAAGGAACAACTTATGCACTGCTGTTCAGTGAAACATACCTAGCACTGCTGCTTTACATGAGAGTTACTTTCTTGTTTTTGGTATTGTAGAATATGCTTTGTTTTTTTCTTCTTGGATACTCTATTAAAATGTAAGCAAAATAAAAAACTTTCTCTTAGTTTGTTAATATGGCATTTGCTAACGTATCAAATAAACACAGCATGGTACTGATATAGGGGACCCATAATTTATCTGTAATTAGCAACAACGCTTGCCTTTTTCTCTGATGGCCACATGGGGGTGCTGAAAAGAGGCAAAGATTTCCATTTTTTCTTTAACAGGCTATTTTATCCACTTTTATATATCCATCAATGTGAGTGATTTAATGGCAGTTATTACCTTCTTTCAAGATCATTTCAAAATGTGTATTAACAATATTACACAGTGGGAAAGAAAAGCATCAAAAAGAGCATCAATTCTACATTGCCACAAAATTTAGGGTGTGTGTGTGTGTGTGTGTGTGTGTGTAATTCTCTTATCAGTGGATTAGAGACTAAGTAGGTATACATTTTCAGAAAGAAACCTTCTGTACATTTATTTAACTGAGAATTGTTAGAATTTGTATTTCAGTATGATAGGAGAAACAGAGGTAATGATATTATGAAACATTATAGTATATAATATTTTATATAAATGAATGAATGTAACATATCTGTAATTAATCAGGCATAGTAATAAAAAAAACTTTTTTGATTCTAATTCCTAGTATAGGCACAACATTCCCAGTACTCTTGAAATACAAAGGTACCTTTTCCAAATGCCGTCTTCCTATCTCCTTCTCTTCAACAAGAGGTAAACACTACCCCGGATTTTGTGTTTATTATTGGTTGTAAAAACATAATAATTTTATCACATATGTATGTCTTCAAAGAATATCATTGAGCTCTATAAAATTGCTTTTATTTAGTCTTCTGAGCCTTCCTCCCTAATATTATGTTTACAAAATCCATTCAAGTTACGCATGAAGCTAGTTATTTTCACTGCTATGTAACATTCCATTTTTGTCTGTTTCACAATTATTCATTTGTTCTTCTGTTTATATATACTTGAATTTTCTTTTTTCCTTTTGTTTTTAATGAAACTGTGTACATTTTCATTCAATGTTGTATGGTGCAAATTCCCAGGAGTTTCCCCAGGTTAATGTGAATCCCTTGGAATGAAGAGTATGCACATGCTTGCTTTAAAACAGTAATCCCAATTTTATTTCAATGCTTGTACAAGGAGTTAATAAGAGTTTCTGTTGTTCTACACCTTTGCCAGTGCTTGGTTTTTCCATGTCTTTAACTTTTACCAGTTGAGTAGGTTTAAAATGTTACATTATTGAGATCTTATTTATATTTCTTTAATTTCAATTGAAGTTGAAAATAATTTATATGCTTATCAGGCATTTGTGAAATACCTACTTATGACAGATTTTCTTTTTTTTTTATTACTATTATACTTTAAGTTTTAGGGTACATGTGCACATTGTGCAGGTTAGTTACATATGTATACATGTGCCATGCTGGTGCGCTGCACCCAATAACTCGTCATCTAGCATTAGGTATATCTCCCAATGCTATCCCTCCCGCCTCCCCCCACCCCACAACAGTCCCCAGAGTGTGATGTTCCCCTTCCTGTGTCCATGTGTTCTCATTGTTCAATTCCCACCTATGAGTGAGAATATGCAGTGTTTGGTTTATTGTTCTTGCGATAGTTTACTGAGAATGATGATTTCCAATTTCATCCATGTCCCTACAAAGGACATGAACTCATCATTTTTTATGGCTGCATAGTATTCCATGGTGTATATGTGCCACATTTTCTTAATCCAGTCTATCATTGTTGGACATTTGGGTTGGTTCCAAGTCTTTGCTATTGTGAATAATGCCGCAATAAACATACGTGTGCATGTGTCTTTATAGCAGCATGATTTATAGTCCTTTGGGTATATACCCAGTAATGGGATGGCTGGGTCAAATGGTATTTCCAGTTCTAGATCCCTGAGGAATCGCCACACTGACTTCCACAATGGTTGAACTAGTTTACAGTCCCACCAACTGTGTAAAAGTGTTCCTATTTCTCCACATCCTCTCCAGCACCTATTGTTTCCTGACTTTTTAATGATTGCCATTCTAACTGGTGTGAGATGGTATCTCATTGTGGTTTTGATTTGCATTTCTCTGATGGCCAGTGATGATGAGCATTTTTTCATGTGTTTTTTGACTGCATAAATGTCTTCTTTTGAGAAGTGTCTGTTCATGTCCTTCGCCCACTTTTTGATGGGGTTGTTTGTTTTTTTCTTGTAAATTTGTTTGAGTTCATTGTAGATTCTGGATATTAGCCCTTTGTCAGAAGAGTAGGTTGTAGGTTGCCTGTTCACTCTGATGGTAGTTTCTTTTGCTGTGCAGAAGCTCTTTAGTTTAATTAGATCCCATTTGTCAATTTTGTCTTTTGTTGCCATGGCTTTTGGTGTTTTAGACATGAAGTCCTTGCCCATGCCTATGTCCTGAATGGTAATGCCTAGGTTTTCTTCTAGAGTTTTTATGGTTTTAGGTCTAACGTTTAAGTCTTTAATCCATGTTGAATTGATTTTTGTATAAGGTGTAAGGAAGGGATCCAGTTTCACCTTTCTACATATGGCTAGCCAGTTTTCCCAGCACCATTTATTAAATAGGGAATCCTTTCCCCATTGCTTGTTTTTCTCAGGTTTGTCAAAGATCAGATAGTTGTAGATATGCGGCGTTATTTCTGAGGGCTCTGTTCTGTTCCATTGATCTATATCTCTGTTTTGGTACCAGTACCATGCTGTTTTGGTTACTGTAGCCTTGTAGTATAGTTTGAAGTCAGGTAGTGTGATGCCTCCAGCTTTGTTCTTTTGGCTTAGGATTGACTTGGCGATGCGGGCTCTTTTTTGGTTCCATATGAACTTTAAAGTAGTTTTTTCCAATTCTGTGAAGAAAGGCATTGGTAGCTTGATGGGGATTGCATTGAAACTCTAAATTACCCTGGGCAGTATGGCCATTTTCACGATATTGATTCTTCCTACCCATGAGCATGGAATGCTCTTCCATTTGTTTGTATCCTCTTTTATTTCATTGAGCAGGGGTTTGTAGTTCTCCTTGAAGAGGTCCTTCACATCCCTTGTAAGTTGGATTCCTAGGTATTTCATTCTCTTTGAAGCAATTGTGAATGGGAGTTCACTCATGATTTGACTCTCTGTTTGTCTGCTGTTGGTGTATAAGAATGCTTGTGATTTTTGTACATTGATTTTGTATCCTGAGACTTTGCTGAAGTTGCTTATCAGCTTAAGGAGATTTTGGGCTGAGACAATGGGGTTTTCTAGATATACAATCATGTCATCTGCAAACAGGGACAATTTGACTTCCTCTTTTCCTAATTGAATACCCTTTATTTCCTTCTCCTGCCTAATTGCCCTGGTCAGAACTTCCAACACTATGTTGAATAGGAGTGGTGAGAGAGGGCATCCCTGTCTTGTGCCAGTTTTCAAAGGGAATGCTTCCAGTTTTTGCCCTTTCAGTATGATATTGGCTGTGGGTTTGTCATAGATAGCTCTTATTATTTTGAGATACGTCCCATCAATACCTAATTTATTGAGAGTTTTTAGCATGAAGGGTTGTTGAATTTTGTCAAAGGCCTTTTCTCCGTCTATTGAGATAATCATGTGGTTTTTGTCTTTGGCTCTGTTTATATGCTGGATTACATTTATTGATTTGCATATATTGAACCAGCCTTGCATCCCAGGGACGAAGCCCGCTTGATCATGGTGGATAAGCTTTTTGATGTGCTGCTGGATTCATTTTGCCAGTATTTTATTGAGGATTTTTGCATCAATGTTCATCAAGGATATTGGTCTAAAATTCTCTTTTTTGGTTGTGTCTCTGCCTGGCTTTGGTATCAGAATGATGCTGGCCTCATAAAATGAGCTAGGGAGGATTCCCTCTTTTTCTGTTGATTGGAATAGTTTCAGAAGGAATAGTACCAGTTCCTCCTTGTACCTCTGGTAGAATTCGGCTGTGAAACCATCTGGTCCTCGACTCTTTGTGGTTGGTAAGCTATTAATTATTGCCACAATTTCAGATCCTGTTATTGGTCTATTCAGAGATTCAATTTCTTCCTGGTTTAGTCTTGGGAGAGTGTATGTGTCAAGGAATTTATCCATTTCTTCTAGATTTTCTAGTTTATTTGCGTAGAGGTGTTTGTAGTATTCTCTGATGGTAGTTTGTATTTCTGTGGGATCGGTGGTGATATCCCCCTTATCATTTTTTATTGCGTCTATTGGATTCTTCTCTCTTTTTTTCTTTATTAGCCTTGCTAGCGGTCTATCAATTTTGTTGATCCTTTCAAAAAACCAGCTCCTGGATTCATTAATTTTTTGAAGGGTTTTTTGTGTCTCTATTTCCTTCAGTTCTGCTCTGATCTTAGTTATTTCTTGCCTTCTGCTAGCTTTTGAATGTGTTTGCTCTTGCTTTTCTAGTTCTTTTAATTGTGATGTTAGGGTGTCAATTTTGGATCTTTCCTGCTTTCTCCTGTGGGCATTTAGTGCTATAAATTTCCCTCTACACACTGCTTTGAATGCATCCCAGAGATTCTGGTATGTTGTGTCTCTGTTCTCGTTGGTTTCAAAGAACATCTTTATTTCTGCCTTCATTTTGTTATGTACCCAGTAGTCATTCAGGAGCAGGTTGTTCAGTTTCCATGTAGTTGAGTGGTTTTGAGTGAGATTCTTAATCCTAAGTTCTAGTTTGATTGCACTGTGGTCTGAGAGATAGTTTGTTATAATTTCTGTTCTTTTACATTTGCTGAGGAAAGCTTTACTTCCAAGTATGTGGTCAATTTTGGAATAGGTGTGGTGTGGTGCTGAAAAAAATGTATATTCTGTTGATTTTGGGTGGAGAGTTCTGTAGATGTCTATTAGGTCTGCTTGGTGCAGAGCTGAGTTCAATTCCTGGGTTTCCTTGTTGACTTTCTGTCTCGTTGATCTGTCTAATGTTGACAGTGGGGTGTTAAAGTCTCCCATTATTAATGTGTGGGAGTCTAAGTCTCTTTGTAGGTCACTCAGGACTTGCTTTATGAATCTTGGTGCTCCTGTATTGGGTGCATATATATTTAGGATAGTTAGCTCTTCTTGTTGAATTGATCCCTTTACCATTATGTAATGGCCTTCTTTGTCTCTTTTGATCTTTGTTGGTTTAAAGTCTGTTTTATCAGAGACTAGGATTGCAACCCCTGCCTTTTTTTGTTTTCCATTTGCTTGGTAGATCTTCCTCCATCCTTTTATTTTGAGCCTATGTGCGTCTCTGCAGGTGAGATGGGTTTCCTGAATACAGCACACTGATGGGTCTTGACTCTTTATCCAATTTGCCAGTCTGTGTCTTTTAATTGGAGCATTTAGTCCATTTACATTTAAAGTTAATGTTGTTATGTGTGAATTTGATCCTGTCATTATGATGTTAGCTGGTTATTTTGCTCGTTAGTTGATGCAGTTTCTTCCTAGTCTCGACGGTCTTTACATTTTGGCATGATTTTGCAGTGGCTGGTACCGGTTGTTCCTTTCCATGTTTAGCGCTTCCTTCAGGAGCTCTTTTAGGGCAGGCCTGGTGGTGATAAAATCTCTCAGCATTTGCTTGTCTGTAAAGTATTTTATTTCTCCTTCGCTTATGAAGCTTAGTTTGGCTGGATATGAAATTCTGGGTTGAAAATTCTTTTCTTTAAGAATGTTGAATATTGGCCCCCACTCTCTTCTGGTTTGTAGGGTTTCTGCCGAGAGATCCGCTGTTAGTCTGATGGGCTTCCCTTTGAGGGTAAGCCAACCTTTCTCTCTGGCTGCCCTTAACATTTTTTCCTTCATTTCAACTTTGGTGAATCTGACAATTATGTGTCTTGGAGTTGCTCTTCTCGAGGAGTATCTTTGTGGCGTTCTCTGTATTTCCTGAATCTGAACGTTGGCCTGCCTTGCTAGATTGGGGAAGTTCTCCTGGATAATATCCTGCAGAGTGTTTTCCAACTTGGTTCCATTCTCCCCATCACTTTCAGGTACCCCAATCAGACGTAGATTTGGTCTTTTCACATAGTCTCATATTTCTTGGAGGCTTTGCTCATTTCTTTTTATTCTTTTTTCTCTAAACTTCCCTTCTTGCTTCATTTCATTCTTTTCATCTTCCATTGCTGATACTCTTTCTTCCAGTTGATCACATCGGCTCCTGAGGCTTCTGCATTCTTCATGTAGATCTCAAGCCTTGGTTTTCAGCTCCATCAGCTCCTTTAAGCACTTCTCTGTATTGGTTATTCTAGTTATACATTCTTCTAAATTTTTTTCAAAGTTTTCAACTTCTTTGCCTTTGGTTTGAATGTCCTCCCGTAGCTCAGAGTAATTTGATCATCTGAAGCCTTCTTCTCTCAGCTCATCAAAGTCATTCTCCATCCAGCTTTGTTCCGTTGCTGGTGAGGAACTGCGTTCCTTTGGAGGAGGAGAGGCGCTCTGCTTTTTAGAGTTTCCAGTTTTTCTGTTCTGTTTTTTTCCCCATCTTTGTGGTTTTATCTACTTTTGGTCTTTGATGATGGTGATGTACAGATGAGTTTTTGGTGTGGATATCCTTTCTGTTTGTTAGTTTTCCTTCTAACAGACAGGACCCTCAGCTGCAGGTCGGTTGGAATACCCTGCCGTGTGAGGTGTCAGTGTGCTCCTGCTGGGGGGTGCCTCCCAGTTAGGCTGCTCGGGGGTCAGGGTTCAGGGAGCCACTTGAGGAGGCAGTCTGCCCGTTCTCAGATCTCCAGCTGCGTGCTGGGAGAACCACTGCTGTCTTCAAAGCTGTCAGACAGGGACATTTAAGTCTGCAGCGGTTACTGCTGTCTTTTTGTTTGTCTGTGCCCTGCCCCCAGAGGTGGAGCCTACAGAGGCAGGGAGGCCTCCTTGAGCTGTGGTGGGCTTCACCCAGTTCAAGCTTCCAGGCTGCTTAGTTTACCTAATCAAGCCTGGGCAATGGCAGGCGCCCCTCCCCCAGCCTCGCTGCCGCCTTGCAGTTTGATCTCAGACTGCTGTGCTAGCAATCAGCGAGACTCCGTGGGCATAGGACCCTCCAAGCCAGGTGCGGGATATACTCTCGTGGCGCGCCATTTTTTAAGCCCGTCAGAAAAGCGCAGTATTCGGGTGGGAGTGACCCGATTTTCCAGGTGCGTCCGTCACCCCTTTCTTTGACTCGGAAAGGGAACTCCCTGACCCCTTGCGCTTCCCAAGTGAGGCAATGCCTCGCCCTGCTTCGGCTCGCGCACGGTGCGCGCACCCACTGACCTGCGCCCACTGTCTGGCACTCCCTAGTGAGATGAACCCGGTACCTCAGTTGGAAATGCAGAAATCACCCGTCTTCTGCGTCGCTCAGGCTGGGAGCTGTAGACCGGAGCTGTTCCTATTCGGCCATCTTGGCTCCTCCCTGACTGATTTTCTTTAGAGTTGATTTTGATAAGTTTTTCAAGAGAGAAATCTAACCATTTTATCTTACTTTTCAAATTTATAGGAATAAATTTGTTTGTAGTAGTTTCTTATCTTTTTAATCTCTTCTGTATCTGTGGCTGTTTTCTTTTTTAGGAGTATGTTTCATACTAGTAATTTTGATGTTTGCTTTCCTCTTGGTAAATGTTGCCAAAGTATATATTTGTTTTCTTCCTTTAAAATAATTTTTTATCAAAATTTTTTGAGTATGCAATTTAGAGAGTAAAATAGTTAAAAAAAAAAACAGTTTTCAAAAAACAGCAGTACTCTGCCTCCTTTCTCCCATTTCCTGCTTCCCAGAGACAACCCACTTTCATTTCTTTTAGGTAATTACTTTGATATTTACCACCAAGTCTCTAAATGATACACTTTCACTGCTACTTTTAAATTTTTGGACTGTAGGCATTGTTTGTTTGTTTATTTGTTTGTTTTGAACTCCACATTAGGCCAAGTAATTCCTTTGCCAGCACCATATGTATTATTTTCATAGCACAATTTGCAATAACAATTTTACATTTCTTTTTAGATTGTTTTATTATTTGTTTTCCCTTTTAGAAGTCCCATTGGTCAAGGATTGGCTGCTTTTGATTTCTGTTGATTCTCCAAGGCCTAGAACAGGATGGACATTCAACTATTTGTTGAGTGAATGAATAAATGACAAAAATGTGACAGGGAGAACTGTCAAAAATTGGAAGAGATGGGGAAATTCTTTGGGGGAATAACTTGAATGGGATGAGGTAAGGTATTCTTTTTTATTTTTATTTTATTTTTTTATTATACTTTAAGTTCTGGGATACATGTGCAGAAGGTGCAGGTTTGTTACATAGGTACACATGTGCCATGGTGATTTGCTGCACCCATCAATCCGTCATGTACATTAGGTATTTCTCCTAATGCTATCCCTCCCCTAGCCCCCCACCCCCCAACAGGCCCTAGTTTGAATATTCCCCTCCCTGTGTCCATGTGTTCTCATTGTTCAACTCCCACTTATGAATGAGAACATGCAGTGTTTGGTTGTCTGTTGCTGTGTTAGTTTGCTAAGAATGATGGTTTCCAGCTTCATCCATGTCCCTGCAAAGGACACGAACTCATCGTTTTTCATGGCTGCATAGCATTCCATGGTGTATATGTGCCACATTACCTTTATCCACTCTATCATTGATGGGTACTTGGGTTGGTTCCAAGTCTTTGCTATTGTGAATAGTGCTGCAATAAATATATGTGTGCATGTGTCTTTATAGTAGAATGATTTATAATCCTTTAGATATATACCCAGCAGTGGGATTGCTGGGTCAAATAGTATTTCTGATTCTAGATCCTTGAGGAATCATCACAATGTCTTCCACAATGGTTGAACTAATTTACATTCCCACCAACAGTTTAAAAGCATTCCTATTTCTCCACATCCTCTCCAGCATCTGTTGTTTCCTGACTTTTTAATGATCGCCATTCTGACTGACATGAGATGGTATCTCATTGTGGTTTTGATTTGCATTTCTCTAATGACCAGTGATGATGAGCTTTTTTTCATATGCTTGTTGGCCATATAAATCTCTACTTTTGAGAACTGTCTGTTCATATCCTCCACCCACTTTTTGATGGGGTTGTTTTTTTCTTAATTGTAAATTTATTTAAGTTCTTTGTAGATTCTGCATATTAGCCCTTTGTCAGATGGAAAGATTGCAAAATTTTCTCCCATTCTGTACGTTGCCTGTTCACTCTGATGATAGTTTCTTGTGCTGTGCAGAAGCTATTTAGTTTAATTAGATCCCATTTGTCAATTCTGGCTTTTGTTGTCACTGCTTTTGGTGTTTTAGTCATGAAGTCTTTGCCCATGCCTATGTCCTGAATGGTATTGCCTAGGTTTTCTTTTAGGGTTTTTATGGTTTTAGGTCTTACATTTAAGTCTTTAATCCATCTTGAGTTAATTTTTGTATAAGGTGTAGGGAAGGGGTCCGGTTTCAGTTTTCTGCATATGGCTAGCCAGTTTTCCCAACACCATTTATTAAATAAGGAATCTTTTCCCCATTACTTTTTTTTGTCAGGTTTATCAAAGATCAGATGGTTGTAGATGTGTGGTGTTATTTCTGAGGCCTCTATTCTGTTCCATTTGTCTATATGTCTATTTTGGTACCAGTAACATGCTGTTTTGGTTACTGTAGCCTTGTAGTATAGTTTGAAGTCAGGTAGCATGATGCGTCCAGCTTTGTTCTATTTGCTTAAGATTGTCTTGGCTATACAGGCTGTTTTTGGTTCCATATGAAATTTAAATTAGTTTTTTCTAATTCTGTGAAGAAAGTCAATGGTAGCTTGATACGGCAAAAAATCTATAAATTACTTTGGGCAGTATGGCCATTTTCATGATACTGATTCTCCCTATCCATGAGCATGGAATGTTTTTCCATTTGTTTGTGTCTTCTCTTATTTCCTTGAGCAGTGGTTTGTAGTTCTCCTTGAAGAGGTCCTTCACATTTCTTGTAAGTTGTATTCCTAGGTATTTTATTCTCTTTGAAGCAATTATGAATGGGAGTTCACTCATGATTTGGCTCTCTGTTTGTCTGTTAATGGTGTATAGGAATGCCTGTGATTTTTGCACATTGATTTTGTATCCTGAGACTTTGCTGAAGTTGCTTATCAGCTTAAGGAGTTTTTGGACTGAGACAATGGGATTTTCTAAATATACAATCATGTCATCTGCAAACAGAGACAATTTGACTTCCTCTCTTCCTATTTGAATTGGCTTTATTTCTTTCTCTTGCCTGATTACCCTTGCCAGAACTTCCAACACTATGTTGAAAAAGAGTGGTGAGTGGGGTCATCCTTGTCTTGTGCCAGTTTTCAAAGGAAATGCTTCCAGCTTTTGTCCATTCAGTATGATATTGGCTGTTGGTGTTTCATAAATAGCTCCTATTATTTTGAGATACAATCCATCAATACCTAGTTCATTTAGTGTTTCTAGCATGAAGGGGTCATGAATTTTATTGAAGGCCTTTCTGCATCTATTAAGATAATCATGTGGCTTTTGTCATTGTTTCTGTTTATGTGATGGATTATGTTTATTGACTTGTGTATGTTGAACCAGCCTTGCATCCCATGTATGAAGCTGACTTGATCGTGGTGGATAAGCCTTTTGATGTGCTACTGGATTCGGTTTGCCAGTATTTTATTGAGGATATTTGCATGGATGGCCTGAAATTTTCTTTTTTTGTTGTGTCTCTGCCAGGTATTGGTATCAGGATGATGCTGGCCTCATAAAATGAGTTTTCTATTGTTTGGAATAGTTTCAGAAGGGATGGTACCAGCTCCTCTTTGTACCTCTGGTAGAATTCGGCTGTGAATCTGTCTGGTCCTGGACTTTTTTTGGTTGGTACGCTATTAACTACTGCCTCAATTTCAGAACTTGTTATTGGTCTGTGCAGGGGTTTGACTTCTTCCTGGTTTAGTCTTGTGAGGGTGTATGTGTCCAGGAATTCATCCATTTCTTCTAGATTTTCCAGTTTATTTGCATAGAAGTGTTCATAGTATTCTCTGATGGTAGTTTTTATTTCTGTTGGGTGAGTGGTGATATCCCCTTTATCATTTTGTATTGTGTCTACTTGATTCTTCTCTATTTTCTTCTTTATTGTCTGGCTAGTGGTCAATCTATTTTGTTAATCTTTTCAAAAAACCAGCTCCTGGATTCATTGATTTTTTTGAAGGGTTTTTTTGTGTCTCTGTCTCCTTTAGTTCTGCTCTGACCTTAGTTGTTTCTGGTCTTCTGCTAGCTTTTGAATTTGTTTGCTCTTGCTTCTCTAGTTCTTTTAATTGTGATGTTAGGGTGTTGAATTTAGATCTTTCCCCTTTCTCATGTGGGCATTTAGTGCTATAAATTTCCCTCTAAACACTGCTTTAGCTGTGTTCCAGAGATTCTGGTATGTCCTGTCTTTGTTCTCACTGGTTTCAAAGAACTTATTTATTTCTGCCTTAATTTCATTATTGACCCAGTAGTTGTTCAGGAACAGGTTGTTCAGTTTCCATGTAGTTGTGTAGTTTTGAGTGAGTTTCTTAATCCTGAAGTCTAATTTGATTGAACTTGGTCTGAGAGACTATGATTTCCATACTTTTGCATTTGCTGAGGAGTGTTTTACTACCAATTATGTGGTCACTTTTAGAATAAGTGCGATGTGGTGCTGAGAAGAATTTATATTCTGTCGATTTGGAATAGAGAGATCTGTAGATGTATATTAGGTCTGCTTGGGCCAGAGCTGAGTTCAAGTCCTGAATATCCTTGTTAATTTTCTGTCTCATTGAATCTGACTAATATTGACAGTGGGGTGTTAAGTTCTCCCACTATTATTGTGTGGGAGTCTAAGTCTCTTTGTAGGTATCTAAGAACTTGCTTTATGAATCTGGGTGCTCCTGTATTGGGTTCATATATACTTAGGATAGTTAACTCTTCTTGTTGCATTGAAACTTTTACCATTATGTAATGCCCTTCTTTGTCTTTTTTGATCTTTGTTGGATTAAAGTCTATTTTCTCAGAGACTAGGATTGCAGCCCCTGCTTTTTTTTTTCTTTTGCTTTCCATTTGCTTGGTAAATATTCCTCCATCCCTTTATTTTGATCCTATGTGTGTCTTTGCACATGAGATGTGTCTCCTGAATACAGCACATTAATGGATCTTGACTGTTTATCCAATTTGCCAGTCTACGTCTTTTAATTGGGGCATTTAGCCCGTTTACATTTAAGGTTATATTGTTACATGTGAATTTGATCTTGTCATTATGATGTTAGCTGGTTATTTTGCCCATTAGTTGAGGCAGTTTCTTCCTAGTGTCAATGGTCTTTACATTTTGGTAAGGTTTCGCAGTGGCTGGTACTGTTTTTTCCTTTCCATGTTTAGTGCTTCCTTAAGGAGCTCTTATAATGTATGTCTGGTGGTGACAAAATCCCTCAGCATTTGCTTCTCTGCAAAGGATTTTATTTCTCCTTCGCTTATGAAGCTTAGTTTGGCTGGTTATGAAATTCTTGGTTGAAAATTCTTTTCTTTAAGAATGTTGAATATTGGCCCCCGCTATCTTCTGGCTTGTAGGGTTTCTGCTGAGAGATTCACTGTTAGTCTGATGGGCTTCCCTTTGTGGGTAACCCGACTTTTCTCTCTGGCTGCCCTTAACATTTTTTCCTTCATTTCAACCTTGGTGAATCTGAAGATTATGTGTCTTGGCGTTGCTCTTCTCGAGGAGTATATTTGTGGTGTTCTCTGTATTTCCTGAATTTGAATGTTGGCCTTTCTTGCTAGGTTGGGGAAGTTCTGTATAATATCCTGAAGAGTGTTTTCCACCTTGGTTCCATTCTCCCCATCACTTTCAGGTACACCAATCAAACGTAGGTTTGGTCTTTTCACATAGTCCCATATTTCTTGGAGGCTTAGTTTGTTCCTTTTCATTCTTTTTTCTGTAATCTTCTCTTCACACTTTATTTCATTAAGTTGATCTTCATTCTCTTGAAGATTGATTTCCTCTGCTTGATCGATTTGGCTATTTATACTTGTATATGCTTCACGAAGTTCTTGTGTTGAGATTTTCAGCTCCATCAGGTCATTTATATTCTTCTTTAAACTGGTTATTCTAACTAGCAGTTCCTGTAACCTTTTACCCGTGTTCTTAGCTTCCTGGCATTGGGTTAGAACATGCTCCTTTAGCTGGAAGGAGTTTGTTATTACCCCCCTTCGAAGCCTACTTCTGTCAATTTGTGAAACTCATTCTCCATCCAGTTTTGTTCCCTTGCTGGTGAGGAACTGTGATCCTTTGGAGGAGAAGAGGCATTCGGTTTTTGGAATTTTCCACTTTTTGTGCTGGATTTTCCCTCATCTTTGTGGATTTATCTACCTTTGGTCTTTGATGTTGGTGACCTTCTGATGGTGTTTTTGTGTGGGCGTCGTTCTGTGGATGTTGATGCTATTGCTTTCTGCTTGTTAGTTTTCCTTCTAACATTCAGGTCCCTCTGCTGCAGGTCTACTGGAGTTTGCTGGAGGTCTACTCCAGACCCTGTTTGCCCAGGTATCACCAGCAGAGGCTGCAGAACAGGAAAGTTTGCTGCCTGCCCTCTCCTCTGGAAGCTTCATCCCAGAGGGGCACCCGCCAGACACCAGGTGAGCTCTCCTGTATGAAGTCTGTCGACTCTTGCTGGGAGGTGTCTCCCAGTCAGGAGGCATGGGAGTTAGGGACCCACATGAGGGGGCAGTCTGTCCCTTAGCGGATCTCGAACACTGTGCTGGGAGATCTGCTACTCTCTTCAGAGCTGGCAGGCAAGAACGTTTAAGTCTGCTGAAGCTATGCCCACAGCTGCCCCTTCCCCCAGGTGCTCTGTCCCAGGGAGTTGGGAGTTTTATCTATAAGCCCCTGACTGGGGCTGCTGCTGAGGTGAGGCATTTTTATACCAGCTTGTCTGTGGCCAGATTGCAGTTACCTAATAATGTGAATCTCTGCTTTGTAGAAATCAGTGCTGGTGACTTTCTCTGTGTTTCTTTTATTTTCTTTTTATTGCCCTTTGGTTCATAATTAAGAGTCCAAAGGTAGGAAAAAACCTATGTAGTAGTTCAAGCAGTCATGTGGGAGGTGTTTCCTCTTGCTCAGCCTTTCTGTTCTATTTAGGACTTCAATTGATTGGGTTAGGCTCACACTGAGAGAGGGCAACTGGCTTTGCTCAGTCTACTGGTTCAAATGTTGATCTCATCTAGTCACACCCTCACAGACATATCCAGAATAATGTTTTACCACATGTCTGGACACCTCATGATTCAGTCAAGATGACACATGAAATTAATCACCACATACACCCACACTTTTTTTAATAAATATGTTTTAAGTGAATCCAAGATATCATGTTTTTTTTTCACATGTAAATGCTTCAGTATTTTTTTACTGTAAAATGAGAATTTTAAAATATAAACCTCATTTTTAGATCAGTTTTAGATTTGCAGATAAATTGCAAAGATAGTATGTAGAGTCCCTTAACCCTGTACCCAGTTTCCCTATTATCAACATCTTACACTAGTATGGTATATTTGCTACAATGTGCCAATATCAATACATGATTATTAATCAAAGTCCATAATTTATTTAGATCTCTTAGGCTTTACTTAATGCCATTTTTCTGTTATAGGATGCCATCCAGGATACTACATTACATTTAGTAGTTAAGTCTCCTTAGGCTCCTCTTGGCTGAGACAGTTTCTCAGATTTCTCTTGTTATTGATGATTTTGACAGTTTTGAAGAGTACTGGTCAGAAAATGTGTAGGATGCCCCTATACTGAATTTTTTTTTTTTTTTTGAGACAGAGTCTTGCTCTGCCACCCAGGCTGGAGTGCAGTGGCATGATCTTGGCTCACTGCAACCTCCATCTCCTGGGTTCAAGTGATTCTCCAGCCTCCCAAGTAGCTGGGATTTCAGGTGTGTGCCACCATGCCCAGCTAATTTTTGTATTTTTAGTAGTGATGGGGTTTTGCTGTGTTAGCCAGGCTGGCCTAGAACTCCTGGCCTCAAGTGATCTCTCTGCCTTGGCTTTTAAAGTACTAGGATTACAGGTGTGAGCCACCGTGCCAGGCCTGGATTTTTTTTTCTTTTCCCTTCTTTTTTTTCTTTTTTTAATTTTTCTCATAATTAGACTGGAGTTACAAATTTTGGGTGGAAGACTACAGAAGCAAAGTGCCATTCTCATCTTAAGTGTACATACTACCTGCACAGTTTATCATGGTTGATATTGACCTGGTCACCTGGCTGATGTACCATTTTTCAGTTTTCTCCACTATAAAGTTAGTTTTTTTAAAACCTTGCTCCACACTGTACTCTTTGGGAAAAAGTCACTATGTGGAGCCTATGCTTATGGAGTGGGAGTTATGCTCCTCTGCTTGAATGCAGAACATCTACATAAATTATTTGGATTTATTCTTCATGGGAGATTTGTCTCTTCTCCCCCATTTATTTATTTATCTACTTATTCAATAATTTACTTTTTATCATATGGAATAACGGGTACTTATTTTATACTTTGAGTTATAGTTCAATACAACTTTATTGTGTTGCTCAAATTTGTTCATTTATTTTTGTCATTTGTCATTGGGAGGTTGGCCATTTCTTTTAGTTTTCTTTTGTGTCCCTTTGACATACCCCCATCAAGGAAGTTTTAAATTTTTAAATTAACCGATATTTGTTTTGAGCATGGTCTTACTTTCTGGCACTATAAGATGCTCTAGGCTTATCTTGTATAATTTACACTTCAGTTTCAGCATCAGTCACTTCTCAAAGAAACACTGAGTCCTTTTATTGGAAAACAGTTTTAGAAACAAGATCTGGGCACTAGGTGTGCTCATTGCTACTGAAATGTTATTGCTTCTAGGTATTCTCAGCTGACAGAGCAATGAATTTTGTGTGTAGGCAACCCCATATGTGAGGGGACTTCAAAAAGTTCTTGGAATAATGAAATTATAAACATAAAAACTGCAAACTTTATTTTCCAATGTAAGCTTCATCAGGTTCAAGATGCTTTTGTAAGTGATGATACCAGCTGTTTAGTCTATCCTTTAAGAACTGAGAGTCCTGGGAATTTAACCAGTCAATACAGTATTTTTTACTTTATTAACTGAAGAAAAATGGGTGTCCTTTAGTAACTTTTTAATATTAGGAAACAAAAAGAAGTTACAAGGAGCCAAATAGTACTGTAAGGTGGATGCCTAATGATTTCCCGTTGAAACTCTCTCAAACTTGCCCTTTTTTGGCGAGAGGAATGAGCAGGAGCATTGTCATGGTGGAGAAGGACTCTGGTAAAGGTTTACTGGGAATTTTTCTGCTAAAGCTTTGGCTAACTTTGTCAAAATACTCTTATAATATGCAGATGTTATTGTTCTTTGCTCCTCTAGAATGTCAACAAGCAAAATGCCTTGCATATCCTCAAAACTGTTGTCATAACCTTTGCTCTTGCCTGGTCTGCTTTTGCTTTGACTGGACCATTTCCACCTCTTAGTAGCCATTGCTTTGATTGTGCTTTGTCTTCAGGATTGTACTGGTAAAGCCATGTTTTATCTCCTGTTACAATTTTTGAATTTAATTTTTGATCCTAAAGAAATGCTTTAGGATCTTGATCCTACAGACATGCTTTAGGATCCTGATCCTACTTGTTTAAAATTTCAATTGAAAGCTTTGCTTTTCCCTGCAACTAATTTGGTGCAATGGTTTTGGCACCCATCAAGTAGAAAGTTTGCCCAATTTAATTTTTTTGCCAACAGAATTGTGTAAGCTGAACTAACTGTGATGTCTATAGTATTGCCTATTGTCTATGCTGCCAATCATTGGTCTTCTTCAATAAGGGTATGAAAAAGATGAGTTTTTTTCCTCGCAAATTGATGTGGGTGGTTTGCTGCTATGGGTTTCATGTCTCATCCCTTTTTCAAGCAAGTTATTTTTTTGTAAACTGCTGATTTCTTTGGGACCATTTTCCCCATAAGCATTTCTTAAAAGCATCAATGATTTCATCATTCTTCCACCCAAGCTTCAACATAAATTTGATGTTAGTTCTTGCTTCAATTTTAGCAGAATTAATGTTGCTTTAATAGTGGCTCCTTTCAAGCTAATGTCTTCTCCTTCCTAGTTCATCAAAGTAGATCCTGTTCAAACATATTAACATGTTAGGATGAGTTTATTTGATGCAAAAAATTTTTGAAATCCATGCATAGTTTTTTTGTAATACACATTTTGCATAAACTTTTTAGTCCCCTCATATATACACATATCTATAGATATTTCTCTATGTAACTATATTAAATTAAATATAATTCCAATTTTAATCCATTGCAAAATAATTATTCAGTCTCCTTTCTTTGGTTATCTGCAAATTACCACTCCAAATTTAAAAAATCTGGCTGTCATCATTCACCATTCATTTACACAATCATTGAATTCTAGTGTATGTAGATAATTGTATCAGAATTGTTAACTTTTATGCTTGTTGGAAATCACTTTTTCAACTACAGTATAGTATTTATATACCGTTCCTTTTGCCTTTAGCTTTACAGAAACTATGTTTTTTCTATTGCTACTGAAGGCAGCACCTCCTTCTCCTTGCTCCCCAACTTCAGTGAGGTTGTTTCATACATTTGTAATAGAGTTAGATTGTTTCGTTACATTCTGCATTCCATCCTGCGGTTTCCCCTAACCTCTTAAATGATTTTTTAAAAAAATACAATAAAGTTCATCCTTTATGTTATAATGTTCTATGGATTTTGCCAAATGCAGAGTGTTATGTATGTATTATTATAATGTCACACAGAATATTTTCACTGCCTTAAAAGAAACCTCCTCTTTGCATAGTCAGCCTCTCTTCTCTACCCACAAACCTCTGGCAACCACTGATCTTTTTACCTTTGCCTTTGCCAGAATGTCATATAGTTAGCATCATACTGTATGTAGCCTTTTCAGACTGGCTTATTTCACTTAGCAACATGCATTTAAGGTTCACATATGTCTTTCGTGAGTTGCTCCCTGATCTCTTTTTATCAGTGAATAATACTGCATTTTATGAATTTATGGGTTTACTCTTCACCCATGGAAAAGCCTCTTAGTTGCTTCTATTTTTGGAGATTATGCATAAAGCTATTATAAATATTTGTGTACAGGATTTTGTGTGAGCGTTTTCAGATCAACTGGGTAAATATTCAGTAGCACAGTCACTGGGTCAGATGGCAAAACTGTTTTTCTTTTTTAAAAAACAATCAAATTGGCTTCCAAACTGGCCATTCCCCACGACACTGAATAAGAGTTCCTGTTGCTTCACATCCTTGTCAGCATTTGGTACTGTCAATTTTTTGTACCTTAGCCATTCTAATAGATGCGTAGTAGGATCACACTGCTGTCCTAAAATAGGTTTTTAACGGTGAATTAAATCAAATAACCATCTGTATTTAGCTAATATATCTGATTAGCATTTGTTTTTAAAATAATGACTGAATTAAAAAGTATCCTACTTACTTTATTTTTCAGATCTTCACATATATCTCAAGATATTTAATGAAATGTAAACACTCATGATAACTACAGTAGTGAAAAGAATGTGATTCTTCTATATAAATGCATCTAGATCATTTGCTTCCTGTAAAATATACCATTAATGCAAAGATTAATTTTTAATTTTCTTACATGTCAACAGTTCCATTTATTTAATAGAGGCTTAAAATTATGATTTTTTTCTTTGTATATTAAAGTTTTCATTTTTATTTTCAAAAACCAAACTAATGTGGTAAGAAGCCAAGATATTTACACATCCCCCCAAAAGGAATATCCTGAAGAAGTAATATTGTCCAATAATCAGAGAACAGACAAATGTAGAAGGGAAGAACCTGTGTACTCAATTATTTGATTGCTAAATATTTGCTGAACAATGAATGAACTCCTTCATTTAATTCAACAATTTTTTTTCATCATTTCTACATAGCAGACAGCTATAAAGGTACTAGGGACATAGCAGTGAATAAAAACAGACAAAGATCTGACACTTAAGGAGCTTCTGTGTTGATAAATAAAGTTGGACAATGAATGAGTAAACACTATGACATTCTTTATGGTCATGTCACAAATTTTTGTGGTGTTAAATTATTTGAATGAAATATTTTAAATTTTATTTCACCATATACTACTTGTGCTTTGACTGCCTTTTTTTTTTTTTTTTTTTTGCCAGTTTTTGTAATGAATTTGTCTTAGAAATCCTTGTGCTTGCTCATGTGTGTGGCTGCTGTCTGCACAGTAACAACCAGACAGCTTATTACATTCATACACTGGGGGAATGGGGAACATGTTTCTGGGAAGAGTGAATGATTTTTCACTTCTGTCAGAGAGATCAAATTATCAGCAGGGCTGCTAATCTGCCTATCTGCAAAAATAGCCAGAAATATGCACAAATGTAAACACAAAAGGGGACTGTCATAATTTGCATAGTTCTCGTGTTTGTCCATCAGTCACCCTAAATGCTTGTAAGCTGTTAGGCTGGTCGTGAATGTGTTACAGCTTGGTGAATTGCCATTTTATCTTCCAAGGCGACTCTTTATTATCACCATTAATTGATTAAACATTTTCAACACTTTCTGAGTAAACCAGTCATGGCATCTATTTCTACCTTGGGCTTCTGTTCATGGTTGGAGTGTGCCAAGCATCCAGATTAATTGAAAATACACCCTCCGGGAACCACGCGTGGCATCTCTCATAACAAGCTGCAGCACCTCTCTGAAGCACAGCTGCTATGTTGTGGGGAATCCAGGGAATCTTTAGCTTAACTGGCTGTGTCTTGGAGCCTCTAGCAGGAATGGAAAGTGAGTGGTGGGAGAGGAATCCTGTGTGTGGATGATTGTCATACTTACATCACTCATTTTGAGGGAAAAGGAGCAGTGGTTCAAGGAACAGATTCGGTATCCTTGGGATAACTGGGATTTGTGGGAGCAATCGTGGTAATGTGAGTTCTAGCCAGCTCTCTATGACTGCCTCAGCATTGAGCTTCTCCAGTCCTGTGATCAGAGGAGGGTGCTGTCTCCCCAGTAGCTTGTGCCTTACCCATTTGACATTCTCTATCAAGTCTAAGTAAAAAGATAAATGATTCCTGATTGCCTCTCCATTTCAAAGATAACTCTGAAGCCTGAGAAGGATGGTGGGCAGGGAGAGGGGAGAGCTTGGCTAAACAGAAAGTGTTGAGATGATTCAAAGGGTTCATGCTGACAGAGCAGGGGTGGCTTGACCTTCTGTGGGGGCCATGTAGGCCGCCTCTTACTGGTTGTTATTTTGGGTTCTGGAAAGCCTGACTGCCCTGAAATATCTCTCCCTGCCGTCTTGCCAGGTTCTGTAATTCCTACCATGAGAGCCATCCTCCAGTTAAGGCATCATGTCTCCAGGAGGCCCAGGTTATAGAGCAGCCACCCACAGCCAACCTCACACATTTAACCCGTAATTGCCCACTAGCCTGCAGCCTGGCTGCAGAGAACAGTTACCAGCTGTTGGTAACCCAACACTGCTTTGCTAAGAGAAGCTTTTTGACAGCCTCTTCACATAAGTGGGGGAAATGGGTGCCACAAAGCTCTGGATCAGGAGCATAATGGCTTCCATGGGAGAGGCCAAATCTCTGCAGTGATGGTGCCTCCACTTCCTATCCCAGGGCATGGGAAGATTAGACTTTGGATTCCAGGAGGAATGTGAAAATGCAAATGGAATCAAAGATGTGTACCTAAATTCATGGATGATGGATCCAATGTGGAATTAGGCAATGCTTGGGTTACAACCTTAACCAGGACTTATCTCTAAGGGAACAAGATAAATGTCTATCCAGCTTGACCTGGTATCCCACCGAATATCCTGTCACTGGTCAGGAAAGATGCCTGAGGGCTTCACTATAATTACTCCTTTGGGCACAGGAGGCACCTGTTAAAAGTTAAACATGTTTTGGAGAGGAAAACCAGGTATTTTTCAGAATTGAGAGCATTCATGGGAATGAGTCTATTTTAGATGATAGCCCGAGGGAAAGCTTGGAAGCTTGGCATGCTGCAGCTGCGTGTAAGGAATGCATTCTTTGCACGGTGGTGAAACTACTGTTGGTACACAACAGCCTTTTCTGGTGGTAAGCCAGCTTCCTTCTAAGTAAGTGTGGTTAGAGGGTCATGCTCTCTTCATGAAACTAAATTCTTAGGATTGTATTCAGGGTTGCCTTTCTTTTCTTCCGGCTGTGCTGCTCTTCTTTCTTGGTCTTGGTTTCTTTCTGCATTCCCTGAAGGGTGTGGAAGGCATGCCCACGTTTGCCCCTCTGCTTCCCTCACTTTCCACTAGGGACTCACCGCATGACTCAGAGCCTGGCTGGACACAGCAGGTGCAGACAGCCTTCCCTTTCTCAGACCATGCTTCTGTAGTGGCCACATGCCTGTGCCTCACAGGCAGCACACTCAACTTGAGGGCAGAGTCACTGAAGCTGTTCTGCTAGTGGATCTGCTGTTAAGGAAACTGTGGATCGCCAACAGAAAAATAGTAGGGCGCAAGCTCCCCCAGTGGGCAAACAGAAGCTTGCAAAAGAGAACAGAGACAGGGGAATGGGTACTGTAACGTCAGGGAATGTCAGAAAATGCCAATGAGTAAGCAAGCAGAACTAGATGTTAAAAGACATCACATCAACTCGGGTTTAAATATTGATAGCTGTGTCATCTTGAAGAAGCTACTTAATGCCTTTAAGCCTTAATTTTCTTTTACAAATGATAGGGTTAATGATACTATCTGCTTCACAAGCTGTGTTAAAAACAAAGTATTTTTTATAAAGTGTCCATAATAGGCATGTTAAAATTCAGTTATCATTATGGTGATTAACAATGTTTTCAGTAGAGTGGGGGATAGAATATAAACAGGAAATTAGGGAGGAAAGTCTGGTAGGGAGGGAAGATAGAGTTGTGGTGTTCACTTATGATTCAGGCGAGGTTGAAGTAAGAATTTTTTTGGATGAAAGCACCTTGAGCAGGGGTGTATATTCAAAGATAACAGTCAGTAGAGAAGTCAGAGACATGATATTCAAGCAAAAAAGGAAAATACTTTTAAGTCAAGTTGCTGAAGGACTCAATAGGAGGTAGATGTGAGCTTAACAGCAAGGATCATCACTGGAAAGGAGCAGAGACATCTCTTGCACTCAAAAAAAGGGAAGGCATACAAGTATGGATAAATGTTTTATGGGTTTGGACGTTGTGGAAAAAGGGAGTACAATAGGGCAAAACAGAGGGATTGGAGAGAGAGATTTAAGAAATTGGCTCACGCAATCATGGAAGCTGGCAAGTCCAAAATCTGCATAATAGGCAGGCAGGCTGGAGACACAGAAGAGAGGTGGTGTTGCTGGTGCAGTCTTAAGGCAGGCTGCTGGCTGAATTCTCTCTTCTTCTGGAGAGAGTTTAGTCTTTTTCTATTGAGGCTTTTGACTGATTGGATGAGGCCCACCCACATTCTGGAGGGCAATGTGCTTTACTCAAAGTCTATTGATTTAAATGTTATTCTCATCTAAATAATATCTTCATAGAAACGTCCACAATAATGTTTGACCAAATATTTGGGTACCTTGGCCTAGACAAGTTGGTACACAAAATTAGCAGTCACACCTAACAACAATCACACCTCTCTCCAGACCTTTATCACTGGCTCTTGGTGTCAAAGAAGGAACAAAGTAGCCCTCTCTAGTGTGGGGATGGCCATCCTTTCTGCCATGCCATAGGCATTTCCTTTCTTTTTAAAGGAAAAATAAAAATTTTATTTTTCCTTTAAAACCTTTACCACCTGCTCTTTGACCATCTCTATTGACCACATTCAGCTCTTTGGCCCTTTACTTGTTTATGAAAACCCAGCGTCTGGCCTTACTGTCCTCATAGCTCTTCCCATGTGGAGTCTTATCAGGCCAATTCTGATAATGACCCCTGGTTCAGGGTTCTGCCAGGTCTTGGCCAACAACATGGACCTGGCCTGATTAAAGACAGAGGCTTGGAGGTGAAAAGCTTTATATCTTGTTATCAGTCTCTTGAGTCACTTAGTCTCAGCCTGACTTTGTAAATGTGACAGTATTACTAACAGCTTGAGCCAAGTTTGATTTATTGGTGAAACTGAATTCTATACTTCCACAATGATGTCAGTACTTCCTGGGTCTTAAACAAAACAAAACAAAACAAAACGAGGCAGAGCAGCAACTGCAAGCTTAACTGGTTAATCCATAGGTTGTCAAGGGCCAGTTGCTCTCTAAATGTCATGAGAGCAGTGCCCATTCTTCTTTGGTGAACATAAACAGAACCCCCTTCTTAAAATTTCAAGTGCAGTCAAGCCATTAAAATAAAATAAAATACAAAATATTCTAAGTGCTTCAGGAAAGCCTGTGATTTGCATTTCTGAGTGTCTGTTAATGACAAGATTAATACTAAAGCAAGTTTTCTTCGTCACAGCGTGTAACAAGATTTTTAAATAAGGAGATAAATATTTGAGACACAATTGATTATTTTTAATGTGAAGCTGGCAAATTTGATTAATCTGCTTAATAATATGAAAATGACAATATGTTAGCAATGTGAAGATCAATAACTTAATGTTAGCATTTCTATCCTCTGTAAAGTCATTTCTGTCATTCCCACACCGAGGAGAGTACAGCTTCTTCTCTAGCTTAGGAAAAGCCGGCTGCAAAAAAAGTTATTATGCAGTTAAATATAATGAAATTTCTATAATTCCAACATTTATCTCAAAAATATTGAAGAGGCTTTGGGGGAGGGACTTGGATAGTTTATTTTAGTGGGTGACACAACCTACAACCTACCCACCTGGTAAGTGGAACGAATGAGGAAAGACAGGATTGTGAAATTTGAGCCACTGCATCTCAGAAAACTTAGATTTTTACTCATAAAAGTAAAATGGGACATGTAACAAGTAAGCCTTCATATAAATCTATTAGTTCTTTGTGTACGTGTAGAGTGTGACTCTGACAGTCAGCCTCATGGTTGGTTTGTATTTTTTTAAATGGAAATTGAGCAGCTTGTTTGGATCAAGGGCCTATTGGGGGCTTGGGAGATTAGAGTAAATTGATTTCAACCTAGTATAGGCAACACTGTTAAAGCAATATGATCTCAATTATATAAAAAAAATTTTGTAAAAAGCTTCCAGTGGTAATTTGGAAAAAGACTCTGTGGACCACAGGCACAAAATAAGGATGAGCAAATCCAGTTAGCATTGTATATGCATGAAATTACTTGTGATTGAGCAACTGAATATCAACCAGGAGTCTTTGCCTACCAGTTACTCAGATTCTCAGAGAGATTTTAAGACACATACGTCGTTTCAGTCCATCAGTGTTTGGACTATGATGCTGTCATGAATCTCAGCTATTTCAGACATGTTCTTCAATACTAGGAAGCTATAATGATGGCAAGGTGATTTAAATCATCAATGCCCTGTAATAAAAGGAAATCCATTCTTAAGAAATCTGATGGGAACAGAGTCAATGTGAGAGTGCAGAAAAGTGAGGCAGAATTTGAATCCAGACTACATGGAACAAAATATTGGATTGGATTCTGATGTGCATTTGTTTGAGGATATCTGTGCCCTGTCTGGATGATCTGACCTAGATTTCCTCAGTCTTTGAGTGAACCTTTGCTATGGAAGAATAATAATTCTTTCAGGACAAAGTCATTTTTGAAAATTTTCTTTTATGGTATACACATAATTGTACTTAGAAATAAAACTATTTGCAAGGGTTGTTGAAATGGGTATTCTTTGTTTATGCTATTTAGAGCTTTTTCTAGGCTTGATTTTAATAAATCTCTAATATGAGATGGTATTTGAACTAAAGTTTAAAGCTAGAAATTTAACATTTCAGGAAAGAAATAAGGGGAATATACAACATAGTGCAAAACCAGGAACAGTGAGGCCACACAACACACATGGTTCTCCATCACTGAGCACTAGTTTATATAGTATATAGTACAGAGTAAGCTATTCTGGAATCTGTGTCCCAGAATATAGATTTTTCTCAAGTTTCATCTGTTGAGTTACTTCCACTAAGGCATAAATTAAAGGAAATTAGGATATGTTTTTCTTTATTAGAATTAGAAAGGCAAAATATCTCCCTAAAACCCTTTGTAGACATACAGTCTATGTCACGTGGCAACCATTCTTGGCTGTAGATTAGCCAAGTAAGGATTCAATTGGGTAAATTACCTCAATAGCAGAATCAGGACTCTGTTGGCAGAGAAGGAGGCAGGAAAGAATATGGGGTAGGCAACAGTATCTGCCATACTAATTCATAATAAAAATGCACTTGTTGGCTGATCTTAGTAAACTTCATTAGTAGATACCAACCCATATTTGATGGTGATCACTGTTTCTCCAAGGGTTATATAAAAACCAACAGCATATAATTAGACTCCAGAGATCCTAATATTTCTCCATTTAGTTAGAAATACAGAATATAACTTTGAGAGAAATACTATTATAAAAATATATTCTATGTGATAGTAAGAGAGATAAGGAGAAAAAGAGAATATCCCTGGAAAAATTATGTAAGTGTTTTTTTATATGCTGATTTTATATTTTAAGTTTTTCAGTTGTGTGGCTTCAGGGCTACTTATCCAAGACATCACTTTCCAATGTGTTCCTTGACACACTAAATTCTAAGAGATTTTGTGGATAGAAGAGTCGGTAAACTGAGTTAAATAGATTAAATAGAGTAAATCAGGTTTCTTTAAGACCTTTCAGAAACTTTGAAATATCATATGCTTTGAAAACCTCCAAAGGTAGAGTTGTTCCATATTTCTTCTATTTAAATAACCATCCATTGCATTATTTATTTAATAACAACTTTGGGGAGGGAGAGAAAAACAATATCTTAAGTGTTGAGAATGGATAGTGACACATTAATCCACACAATTGCATTAGTCTTTCTTTTCTCTTTCATAGTAGCATATTACTTTGATATATTACTTTATGATATATTAATTTTACTTTGTGGTAGTGCCTTTTTCATTTCTTTTTCAAATCATGCAGTCCTTCCACTATTAAAAATAGACTAAGATTAAGCCTTGTTGGTTTCAGGGAAGAAAGCATAACTTCCAACACCTGGAGGCAACAAAGGGCCAAGTTCTTATCCTTTGAGCAATTAAGTAGACTTTTCTAGATTTATACCAGAGACGATATGCTTGAACTTTCAAGTAGAAGAGTGAGTTGGGCCCTTAATAAAGTTACTTTGGAGTTAATTTAAAAATATTTCTTAAGTGCCTACTGTGTACAACCAGGTGCTGTAAATATCTAAAACAAAAGAGCCAAACCTTTGTGGACCTTGTATTCTACTAGGGAAAGGAAGACAGTGAATGTGATAAGCAAGTACAATGTTAGGAGATGTGGTGGATGCTGCGATGTTCCACCCAAAATTCCCTTCACGAATGGACTTCCTACTCCAGCTACTAATTGAAGTTGACCTTCAGCTGTCTTCCTTCTTTGGGAATTGCCTTGGCTAAAGAAAACTACTTCATCCAAGGTAATGTTTGCTTCCAGGCACAGCCCACATCCAGGTATATGAAAATCCAAGCCTCTCATCTCAACTCAGAACGTCCAAGCTCCAGAAATCCTGTGGTGTCTGCTGAGGCCTTCTTTAGGGCAGCATTACAGTTCAGCTTCTCCTTCTTTCTCTGCCCCACCCAGCTTTCCTGCCCTCACTTTCACCAGGGCTGGTCACGAGTGCTCCCTGATGAATATCCTGCTTGCTCCTCTCTGTCCCAGAATCTGCTGCTCAAGGAACATACCTGAGAGCAAGGGATAAGCATCATGATAAAAAGAAAAAGGGGATGCATTGTGTTGTTGGAGGGGTGTCTTTATGAAGACAATGTAGAATAATTAAATCAAACTAGTTAACATATTCATTGTCTCAAATATAGTGTTTAACGTTACCCAGATGTTCAGAGTGGGCAGCGTGGAGACGGCGATTTGAGCAAAATGGGAAGGCGGTAGAAGGAGTTATCCACCTAAGTTTTGGGGAGCAGAATATTCAAGGAAATTCAAGGAAGAGAGAACAGTTAGGACAATGACCATGAGGCAGGTGCATGCCTGGTATGTTGAAGGAGCGCCAGGACACCCAGTGTGGCTGGAGCTGACTTGAGGTCAGAGTTAACTGGGGTGGGGTAGGGGAGAGTTGGGTCATGTGGGGCCTTGGAGGCCATGGCAAAGTTTTTGGCTTTTACTGAGGGAAATAAAGAGCAATTGCTAGTTTTGAGCAGAACCTGACTTACATTATAGGCAGATCACTCCAGCGTCTATGTGGGACACAGACTATAAGAGAACAAAGGGAGAAGCAGAGGGTCCAGACAGGAAACTGCCACAGTAGTCCAGGTGGGAGGTGAGTGGCTTGGGTCAGAGAGGTGGGAGAACAGGTGGAGTGTTGTCAGATTCTGGATATATTTGTGAAGGTCTCAGAGCCAGTAGGATTTCCTAATTACTTGTCTGTAAGGACTGGATTAGAATTTTAAATAATTTGGCTTGAAAGATCAAGTGCCATATACTGAACAAAGAAGTCACAGAGTTTATCTCTAAATAATACATTGTTAGGAGAATATACCATGACAAAAAGCTAGTTATGACTCAAAACAGGATTAAAAGTTTGACCAACTACTGGCAAGGAAGAAACGTGGAGAGGATGTAACCAATTTGTAGCATGTCTTTGAGAAATGCGCAGCATCCTGGCCCCTTTCTGAGCTGAAACCCTGGGGGTTGCCTGGACAATAAATACTCAAAATAGGTTTAGGGACATCCTTTTACAGATGGGACTATTGGCAGCCTTCCCAAGGTGTAGCCTGGAAGATGGTCAATTTCAGGGAGAAGCTTTTCATCCAACACAGCCCCTGAGCAGTGGATATCAGGGAATAAAGCCAGGTTCTATGTGGATGAGCCTGAGAGGAGCCTCAGTGTCCTCTGCATCCCCGGGAGGTGTGGGGGAGCATCAGAAAGAGAGGGTTGTGGGCAGGGGTGCTGTGATAGAAATCTGCATGAATGGGAAAGACCCAGAGCAGGGAATACTCATGAGTAGAGGCCACAGTGAGACCTGCAACCTCAGCAGTGGTAACCCGTGCATGACAACAGGGACCAGATGAGCTGAGGCACGCTGTCCCTCAGGAGAGGACAATACAGCTTCTCACCTGTTATCCCAGCACTTTGAGAGGCCGAGGCTGGAGGATTACTTGAGGCCAGGGGTTCAAGACCAACCAAGGAAATACATAGTGAGACCTCAGCTCTACAAGAAACTAAAAAAATAAAATTAGCTGAGGTGACCTGTACCTGTCATCCCAGGTACTTGGGAGGCTGAGAGGGGAGGATCCCTTAACCCCATGAGTTTGAGGCTGTAGTGAGCCATGATCATGCCATTGCACTTCACTTCAGCCTGGTGACAGAGCTAGACCTTGTCTCAAAAAACAAAAATACAGATGGAGGAATAAAGAAGAGGAGTAACCCCATCTGAGTGCCAGGATGTTACACACAGAGGAGTTTTACATTGGAAGAGGCTGCATTACTTTGCATTGGCCAGTTTCAGTTCTTTTTTTTAATATTGTAAACTGACAATTTATAATGGTATAAATCTATGGTGTACAAAGAGATGTTGTAATTTATGAAGACAATGTAGAATAATTAAATCAAACTAGTTAACATATTCATTGTCTCAAATATAGTGTTTAACATTTGTGGTGAGATGTTTGAAATTTACTCTTAGCAATTTTCTATCATCAGTGGAAAAGAGAGCTCAAGAGCTAAGATAATTCCAGTTAAGAAAAAATAAAGAAAATGGCATTTTGACACACTGAATTTTTGTGGCTATACAATTTATACCTGAAACACATGTATTCAGTCTCCAAAAATCACAAAGTTTGAACTTAGACCTTTTGTATTTTCAGTGTCTAAAGGGATTTGTAAATTATTTTGGTGATAGAAGTCACATATAGCCTTCTGATGACATGCTGTTGTTCATAATACACACTAGTTATCCTGAACTGTTTAGCATATTTAGGGTTGATGTTATTAATGTGAAGCATATCAAAGAATACTGATGTTCCTGTCTACATTTTTGGATTAGTTAAATCTATAGTTACTATTTCCCCCTTAATTAAATTATTCATAGCTAGAACTTAAACTCCTTTATTTAAAAGGCAGCCCAAATTTGCTTTTAAAAATTGGGGTATAATTTACATCTAATGAAGTGTTCAAATTGTTATGGTTATTATTATTATTATTATTAATAGAGACAAGGTCTCATTATGGTGTCCAGGCTTGTCTTGAGCTCCTGGACTCAAGCCATCCTCCTACCTCAACCTCCCAAAGTGCTGGGATTGCAGGCATAAGCCACTGCACCCAACCAAGAAATATACAAATTAAAGTGAACATTTAAAATTTACAGTTGGATGAGTTTGGCAGCGTATACACCCATGAAACCATCAGCACAATTGAGATGCAGAACATTTTCATCACCTCCAAAAGATCCCTCATGATTTTTTGCAATCCACCTCTCCCTCAGCCACCAGCCTCAGGCAACCACTACTCTGATTTCTACCACTGTATATTAGTTTGCATCTTATAGAATTTCATATAAATAGAATCATAGGTATGTACATTTTTGGTTCCAGCTTTTTCCACCTGGTATAATTTCATGTTGTTTGTTGTTTGTGTCAGTAGTTTGTTCTTTGTTATTGCTAAGTAGTAATCCCATTGTATGGATATACTGTATATTGTTATTCATTTGCTTTTTGCTGGACATTTTTCTTCCAGTGTAGCCAGTTGAATTGTGTTTTCAAAAAGGCGTTCACATCTTAACCCCTGGTACCTAACCTTATTTGGAAATAGGGTCTTTGCAGATGTAATTAATTAGGTTAACATGAGGTCCTACTGGATTAGAGTGGACCCTGAATCCAATCACTGGTATCCTGATAAGAAGAGGACAGATACACAGAGACACACAGGCAAGGACATCTGATGATGGAGGCGGAAATTGTAATGATGTTACTTCAAGCCAAGGAATGCCAAGGATTGCCCACCACCTACCAGAAGCTCAGAGAGAGGCATGGAACAGATTCCCCCCTAGAGCTTCCAGAAGGAACTGACCTACCAAAACCTTGCTTCCAGGCTTCTGGCTTCCTAAACTGTTAGAGAGAGAGAGAAAAAATCCTGTTGTTTTAAGCCACGCAATTGGTAGAAATTTGTTACAGCAGCCTTAGGAAACAAATAAGCTAAGTTTTTGGCTATTTGAATAAAGCTGTTCTAATATTCATGCAGACATTTGTGTGGGCGTATGTTCTCATTTCTTATGGATAAATATCTAGAAGTGGAATGACTGGGGCATACATTTAACTTTTTAAGAAACTACCAAACAGTTTCCCAAAGCCTTTGTACTGTATTCCATTCCCACTGGCAAGATATGGAAGTTCCAGTTGCCCCATCTATTCGCTGAAATATAGTATTGCCAGCGTTTTAAATTTTATCCATTCTAATATGCAGTTAGTAGTATATTTGTGTGTGTGTGTTTTATTTTTTATTTTTATTTTTTGTTTTTTTTTTGTTTATTTATTTATTTATTTTTGAGCCGGAGTTTCACTCTGTCGCACAGGCTGGAGTGCAGTGGCACGATCTGGGCTCACTGCAACCTCTGCCTCCCGGGTTCAAGCAATTCTCCTGCCTCAGCCTCCTGAGTAGCTAGGAGTACAGGTGCGCGCCACCACACCTGACTAATTTTTATAATTTTTTTAGTAGAGACAGGGTTTCACCATATTGACCAGGCTGGTCTCGAATTTCTGACCTCGTGATCTGCCCTCCTCGGCCTCCCAAAGTGCTGGGATTACAGGTGTGAACCACTGTGCCTGGCCTATTTTTGTGGTTTTGATTTGTATTTCCCTTATTCCTATTAACCTTTTATACATCTTCTTTTCTCTCTTCAAATCTTTTGGAAAGTTTGTCTGATTATTCCAGATAAAAGTCCTTTGTTGAAACCTATATCGCAAATGTATTCTTTAATCCCGTAACTAGACTTTTTATTTTTTATTCATGTATTTTCAAGAGAAAAATTTCTAAATCTTGGTGAGGCCCAACTTATCAATATTTATTTTGTGTTTTCCGCTTCTTATGGCCTTTCTAAGAACAGAGGGAAGTTCACATTTGCTGCCCTTTTCATGAATCTATGTTCCACAACCCTACTTCTGTGCTTTGGCATGCATAATCAATTTTAATTTCAATGTTATAACTCATTGTAATATTTCAAAGATATTTTAAGTGCAATCAAAGATCCAGATTTAAATTAAATTCAAATAACCAATGTGACAGTGGAATCGATTAATTTGGCAAATCCATCACTAAGATTACATGTGCCTTGCATCCTTCTCCTGGTGGGCAGAAATGTACCTTCTACTGGTGTACTAGAAATGCTGGCCTTCATTCATTTATCCACACCCATTCACGGCTGGTGTGTATTGACATTGTAGGCCCAGCCTTGACCTAGGGAAGGAGAGACGAAGATAAAGATGAGGAATGTGGATAAGGAGCAATGGTGAGTAGTGAAGGACTTTTTGCCAAAGCCACAGCCCTGGTGAGAGCCAGCTGCAATTTTGTCTGCTCTGGTCAGGACAAAGCACTTTCTATTTAAAGAATCTTCCTTCGGCTGCAGCAGTTGCTATTTTAGAGTATTAAAAACTGGGCATAATTTTTTTAATTGAGCTATGGATTGATGTGAGGGTGGAGGGAGAATTTAATTCCAAACTGTGAAAGAAGAGAAAATATAATGTTAAAGCCTAAAGATGTTTTCTAAAATGAATGTCCATTCGACTCAGAATGATGTACAGTTAGATTCTAATTAAAATGTCATAATTCTATAATGTGGCAAACCTATAGAAATAATCAAAATCTAATGTGACCAGAAAGCTTAATTAAAGGCATATGATATAACTATATTCATCTATAATAGGTTATTTAAGTTTACATCACAAGCAAAAAGTTCACTAATTGTTCTACAATTTTGTTTCAATATTATGCAGCTCATTTCTTCCTCCTTTTCAAACTCTGTGGCACTCCTTGAAGCTGAGTTGAAGGATGGAGTGACAAATTGGGAAGAGGTGTTAAAAAGTTTGCATTTTGCAGCCATAAAAAGTAGCAAATGTGGTGGAGCTGGGAGTTAGAGAAAGTGCTGCGTTGTGGAATTCCAGAAGGATTTAGTCAATTTGATTTTGTGTTTGACTCCCAGTAATGGGAGACATTCCAAATCCACTGCTTTCTGTGGATCAAATGTATTGTTTTTTGGCCACCCAGCTGGGACTTGGCTAGAGTGAAAAATTGTCTCCCAAAGAGTTTTGAGTGCTTGGAGGAGGGATGAATGCTCCTGCTGGAGTTTGAGTTCTAAAGGCATTGTAGAGAAATGTCAGAGAAGAGCAAAGACACCTGCTCTGTGTTCTTTGTAAGAATGTCATGATCCAAGTAAGAGGATGCCTTATGTGACTTAGCAGGAAAAGGTCCTGAGCAACTGAAATGGGAATCAAATTGGGAACAAGGAATCAACTTGTGCCTCGGCAGTATTATCAATCACAGTCTAGAAATGCAGCAGCAACAACCAGTGACATGTTTGCAGATAGTTGATTGCTGATCTTTCATGGTACCCCTGCTCTTCTCAAATTTCTGTTCATCCATTCAACAAATATTCACTGACAACACACTATGTAACCAGGAACCATTGCAGGCACCGGAGGTACAGCTGTGAACCAAGCAAAATGCCTCTCCTCAAGGAGCTAAGATTCTAGGTAGTGGAAACAGAACATAAACAGACAGACAATTACACATTCTATTCCAAATAGTAATCAATAGTATGAAGAAAAAAATGTAGAGTGAAAGGGATAGAGAGGCAGTTTTGGGGTGAAACCTTTTGTAATGTAAACAGCAAATTTTCCTGTTTATTAAATTTATAGAGCTCACAATGCATTAGGGCAAACCAAGATGTCCAAGACAGACACATTCCTTAGAAATGATGTTTACTTAATAATATCAATAAATATTTTGTTTTCACATATATTTCCTTGTTTGGTCATCATGATGCCCCCCATAGGGTAAGCAGGACAGGTATCCTCCTCCTGTTTTTATTGATAGGAATATTGAGGCTCAGAAAGGTTAGTGATCAGCTCAGTAATATGCAATTGTTTAGAAGCAGACTTCAGACTTGAAGAGTATCATGTTCTGTGCTTATAATACACTCATTTTTTTCATTAACTCAGTGAATATTTGTTTAGTGATGATTATGTGCTGGGACTGGATATGGTGCTAGTGTCAGTGGCAAATAAAATAGACATTGTCCTAGACTCATAGGACTTAGAGAGGAGTGGGGCAAACAGATATAAAGCAAATGATTACAGGTGAGGCAAATGTTATGGAGAAGTATTTTGTGTTAGGGAACATAGACAAAAGACCAAACCTTGACTAAGAAATACAAAGAAAGAGTCACTGAACAACCCAGATATCCTAGACAAACAATACAACATTGTTGCATTAAAAATTCCTAAATATAGCATACTTAAAGTGAACTGACTAATCAAATTGTATTTATGTGTGTACCAATTTAAAAATTGAACTTCTGGTCTCAAATACTTGTATACGTACGCATTTTTTTCTCAAGCCAAGACTGCATAGCTGTAGATCAGAACACCTTCAAGGTACACTCACAGGTCTTTTCTTGGTGTGTGGTGAATAAAGGATCACTACTTATTCATCCAGGTTTTAGCCATATCCAGGATAATTGTATAAGGTTCCAAAATGACAGAGGAAAGATCTACTCATAATATTTTATCATTTTACTGATTTATGCAAAAATATAAGGACCTGAAATTTGCCCATTGAGAACAAGCTAGACAGGAACACTTGTCATGGGGTAGAACAGAAAAAGGACCCTGAATCCTATACAACCTGGGAGAGGTCTCTTCTAAATGGAAAGGATAGTTATAATTTTCTATAGAAACAAAGGGTCCTAACTGGGAAGACAACATCATGGTGAAATATGAAAGAAGGAAATGGTGATGAAAACCAAAGAACAAGTAAAGAAGCCAGACCCAGGGGTTTCAAAAGTAGGTCAAACAAGCAATTCTTGACTGAGTTCACCAACAGATAACAAGCATGTTTCTATGTTGTGGGGCCAAGTGTTGTGAGTTATGGTAGCCTCAAACAGTCACTCTTTTTAAGCAAAAAAATTAAAATTTTAGACAATTTGGTAATCTTGTGCATGAATACTATATGGACCGTATGTGAATTTTTACAAAGTAAACATGACACTGAGATAATAGGCAAAACTTACCAGCATCCCAGAAGGCCCCCTTTTTTCTCCCCATCTCACTGCCCTGTCTTCTAACAGCGTATATCAGTGCTGCCAGTTTTTGAACTTGACATAAATGGAATCATATGTAATGTAGTTTGGGATCTGACTTTCCCCATTTAACAATATGCCTGTAAAAGTCTTCCATATTGTTATCTCTGAGTTGTTGATTCTCATTGCCATGTAGTATTCCATTACATAAATATGATATTCATCCACAGTGGCTTTATCCATCCTACAATTGATGGATGTATAGGTGGTTGAAGATATCCATTTGAAGTCTTACTTCGTAATAACAGCACACTGACAATTTAATGATTTGTTTTTAGGCCACATCAATGTAGCTGAGAAAAATATCCTTGAGGTTGAAATCGCAAGTAGTCACTTCTTAAGGGATGTATCAGTGTGTCTGACTTAAAGTGGAGGGTTGGTCAGAGTACTAGTGGCATGTCAAGGTCTTCCACTTTCATGCGGAAGCTGTGACATTAATGGGCATCAGGAATACAGTCAGTGGTAGAATAGCTTAGCACTGGAGCCCTATGGGAGGGAGGGGCCAAGAAAAAGCATCCCTACAGGTGTGTGGCCAGAGGGGTATGGGGTGGGGTGTTGGGGAGTGGGGCTGGAGTCTAAGAAACCCAGGAGCATTTTCAGGGTGAAGGACTTGGATAATGTGGGTTACAGGCACTTCTTTTTTCTCTATTATAAAAGAACTCACGCTCACTGAAGGGAAGAAGAAAAAGAAAAAAATGAAATATTTCAAAGGCAGCCACCTTAATATAAATGTGTTTGTCTTTTCTTCCTATCTAAGCATTTCTGTTCTCGTTTTGATGTCTACTCTTTTCAAGGATGAGGTCATTGTTCAGCATTTTTTCCTTGTTATAACTATAAACATCATTGCATCCACATCATTTCATTTAGTGGAGAACATGTAAAGTTATTCTCCTAATGTAAAAAATTCTCATATTCTTGGTTTTATTTTATCCCAGTTTCTTTTTTTTAATTTGTTAAAAGGAATGTGGAAAAGGAGGTCTCAGTGCATAGAGCTTTTTTCTCCAGTTCAGATTATCTCTTTGGGAATAAACAGGCTCTCAGAAGTTGAATTATGAGGTCTGAAAATATCATGATTTTAAAAATTCTTGTAAATTTAACAAAAACGTTTTGCTAATTTCCTTTCCCCTTCTGCCATGATTGAGAATATACTTTTTATTACACCTTTTTTTTTTTTCCGGAGAGTTTAAAGACAAAGAACTAAAAGGGGCTTTTGCATTATTAGGTATATTATGGCTCTATTTTTTATAGGTTTAATATAGGTGTAGGTGGTAACGTGATAGATAAATTACGGAAGTAGGCTGCAATTGTTTTGATTGTAATCAAATAATCCATCAATAAAATATTTTTAAGCAAACATATTGAGTACTAAAATTGAGTACTAATATTTGCATATTTGTTTAAAGTTAAAATATTGGGTATTAATATTTGCATATTTGTTTAAGAGTACATATATGTGCTACTCTATTATGCACATTATTAAACAGACAAAACATATATTTAAAAGGTCATATAGAGATACAATACATATTTATAATGAATTTAATTTATTAATAGTAAAAATCCCCTTTTCGGTCTTTTGTTTTGTTTTTGATTTTTTTCAGACAGGGTCTGCTGCCCAGACTGCAGTGCAGTAGTATGATCACGGTTCACAACAGGCTTGACCCCCCACACTGAATTGATCCTCCCACTTCAGCCTCCAGAATAGCTGGGACTACAGGCATGTACCACCATACCTGGCTAATTTTTAATTTTTTTGTAGAGTTGAGTTCTCACTATGTTGCTGATATGGTTTCGCTCTGTGTCTCCACCAAAATCTCATCTCGAATTGTAATCCCCAGTGTCGGGGGAGGGACCTGCTGGGAGGTGATTGATCATGGGGGTGAATTTCTCTCTTGCTATTCTTGTGATAGGGAGTGAGTTCTCATGAGATCTGGTTGTTTAAAAGTGTGAAGCACTTCCCCCTTCATGCTCTCTCTCTCCTACTGTCATGTGAAAATGTGCTTGCTTCCCCTTTGCCCTTCTGCCATGATTGTAAGTTTTCTGAGTCTTTCCCAGCCATGTCTTCTGCATGGCCTGTGGAACTGTGGGTCAATTAAACTTCTTTTCTTTATAAATTACCCAGTCTCAGGTAGTTCTTTATAACAATGTGAGAGTGGACTAACATAGTTGCCCAAGTTGGTCTTGAACTTCTGGGCCCAAGTCATCCTCCTGGCAGAGCCTTCCAAAGTGCTGGGATATGTGAGCCACTGCCCCTGGCCCCAATTTCATCTTACTACAAAATTTTAACAATAGAGCATTTTTGGAAAATAATTATGTGATTGATAATACTTATTACAGAAAATCTTGGTGTGGACCTTTGTGATACAATGTTTCAAAGATCTCATACTAAGTTGACTGCCACAGCTGAAAAAAATACTTCATGAAGATACATAGTTCAATGTAGAGGAAGTATCATTGGCTGCATTTACAAAATACAATGTTCACTTCTTTTTCTTTTTTATGTATTTATTTATTTTTCCAACTTTTATTTTAGATTCAGGAGGTACACATGCCAGTTTGTTACATGGGTATATTGTGTGATGCTGAGGTTTGGTGTATGAATGATCCCATCACCCAGCTACTGAGCATGTACTCCAAGAGCTGTTTTTCAACCCTATCCCTCCTCACTTTTTTTCCCTTCTAGTAGTCCCCAGTGTCTATTGTTGCCATCTTTATATCTATGAGTACCCAATGTTTTGCTCCTATTTTTAATTGAGAACATGCAGTGTTTTGTTTTCTGTTACCACATTAATTTGCTTAGGATAATGGCCTCTGACTGCATCCATATTGCTGCAAAGGACATGATCTTGTTTTACATGACTCTGTCATATTCCGTGGTTGATATGGTTTGGCTCTGTGTCCTCACCCAAATCTCATCTTGTAGCTCCCATAATTCCCATTATTTTGGGAGGGACCCAGTGGGAATGACTGGGTCATGGGGGTGGGTCTTTCCTGTGCTGTTCTCGTGATAGTGAATGGGACTCATGAAATATGATGGTTTTAAAAACAGGAGTTTCTCTGCACAAGCTCTCTCTTTGCCTGCAACCATCCATGTAAGATGTGACTTGCTCCTCCTTGCCTTTCACCTTCTGCCATGATTGTGAGGCCTCCACAGCCACTGGAACTGTAAGTCCAATAAACCTGTTTCTTTTGAAAATTGCCCAGTTTCAGGTATGTCTTTATCAGCAGCATGAAAATGAACCAATATAGTAAATTGGTACTGGGAGAGTGGGGCGTTGCTGAAAAGATACCCAAAAATGTGGAAGCAACTTTGGAACTGGGTAACAGGCAGAGGTTGCAACAGTTTGGAGGGTTCAGAAGAAGATAGAAAAATGTGGGAAAGTTTGGAACTTCCTAGAGACTTGTTGAATGCCTTTGACAAAAATGTTGATAGTGATATGAACAATAAGGTCCAGGCTGAGGTGGTCTCAGATGGAGATAAGGAACTTGTTAGGAACTGAAGTAAAGATGACTCTTGTTATGTTTTAGCAAAGAGACTGGTGGCATTTTGCCCCTGCCCTAGAGATTTGTGGAACTTTGAACTTGAGAGAGATGATTTAGGATATCTGGTGGAAGAAATTTCTAAGCAGCAAAGCATTCCAGAAGTGACTTGGGTGCTGTTAAAGGCATTCAGTTTCAAAAGGGAAAAAAAGCATAAAAGTTTGGAAAATCTGCAGCCTGACAATGTGATAGAAAAGAAAATCCCATTTTCTGAGGAGAAACTCAAGCTAGCTGCAGAAATTTGCATAAATAATGAGGAGCCAAATGTGAATCACCAAGACAATGGGGAAAATGTCTCCAGGGTATGTCAGAGACCTTTCGGGCAGCCCCTCCCATTACAGGCCTAGGAGGAAAAAGTGGTTTCCTGGGCCAGGTCCTGGGTCCCTGTGCTGTGTGTAGCCTAGGGACTTGGTGTCCTGCATCCAAGCCACTCCAGCCATGGCTGAAAGGAGCCAACATAGAGCTCAGGCTGTGGCTTCAGAGGGTGCAAGCTCCAAGTCTTGGCAGCTTCCATGTGGTGTTGTGCCTGTGGATGCGCAGAAGTCAAAAACTGAGGTTTGGGAACCTCCGCCTAGATTTCAGAGGATGTATGGAAATGTCTGGATGCCCAGGCAGACGTTTGCTGCAGAGGTGGGACCCTCATGGAGAACCTCTGCTAGGGCAGTGTGGAAGGGAAATGTGGGGTTCCAGCCCCCACACAGAGCCCCTACTGGGGCACTGCCTAGTGAAGCTGTGAGAAGAGGGCCACCATCCTCCAGACCCCAGAATGGTAGATACACTGACAGCTTACATTGTGCACCTGGAAAAGCCACAGACACTCAACGCCAACCCATGAAAACAGCTGGAGGGAGGCTGTACCCTGCAAAGCCACAGGGGCAGAGGTGGCCAAGACCATGGGAACCCACCTCTTGCATCACCATGACCTGGATGTGAGACATGGAGTCAAAGGAAATAATTTTGGAGCTTTAAGATTTGACTGCCCTGTTGGATTTCAGACTGGCATGGGGCTTGTAGCCCCTTTGTTTTGACCAATTTCTCCCATTTGGAATGGCTGTATTTACCCAATGCCTGTACCTCCATTGTATCTAGGAAGTAACTAAGTTGCTTTTGATTTTACAGGCTCATAGGTGGAAGGGACTTGCCTTGTCTCAGATGAGACTTTGGGCTTGGACTTTTGGGTTAATAGTGGAGTGAGTTAAGACTTTGGGGGACTGTTAGAAAGACGTGATTGTGTTTTGAAATGTGGGGACATGAGATTTAGGAGATGCTGGGGCAGAATGATATGGTTTGGCTCTGTGTCCCCACCCAAATCTCCTCTTGTAGCTCCCATAATTCCCACGTATTTTGGGAGGGACCCAGTGGGAGATGACTGAGTCATGGGGGTGGGTCTTTCCCGTGCTGTTCTCATGATAGTGAATGGGTCTCATGAGATCTGGTGGTTTTAAAAACAGGAGTTTCTCTGCACAAGCTCTCTCTTTGCCTGCAACCATCCATGTAAGATGTGACTTGCTGCTCCTTGCCTTTCACCTTCTGCCATGATTGTGAGGTCTCCATAGCCATGTGGAACTGTAAGTCCAATAAACCTGTTTCTTTTGAAAATTGTCCAGTTTCAGGTATGTTTTTATCAGCAGCATGTAAATGGACTAATACAATGGTGTACATATACCACATTTTCTTTATCCAATCCACCACTGCTGGGCACCTAGGTTGATTCCATGTGTTTGCTATTGTGAATAGCACTGCAATGAACATGTGAGTGCATTTATCTTTTTGGCAGAACAATTTGGTTTCTTTTGGATATGTGCCCAGTAATGGGATTGCTGAGTTGAGTGATAGTTCTGTTTTAAGTTCTTTGAGAAATCTCCAAACTGCTCTCCACAGTGGCTGAATGAATTTAAATTCCCACCAACAGTGTATAAGCATTTCCTTTTCTCTGCAGCCTCGACAGCATCTGTTATTTTTTGACTTTTTAGTAATAGCCATTCTGACTGGTGTGAGATGGTATCTCACTGTGGTTTTAATTTTCATTTTTCTGATGATTAATGATGTGGAGCATTTTTTCCTATATTTGTTGTAAACTTGGGTGTCTTCTTTTGAGAAGTGTCTGTTCATGTCTTTTAATGGGGTTATTTATTTTTTGCTGGTTCAGTTGCTTAAGTTCCTTATGGATTCTGGATATTAGACCCTTGTCAGATACAAAGTTTGTGAATATTTTCTTCCATTCTGTATGTTGTCTGTTTACTTTGTTGATAGTTTCTTTTGCTGTGCAGAATCTCTTTAGTTTAATTAGATTCCACTTGTCAATTTTTGTTTTTGTTGCAATTGCTTTTGAAGACAGTCATAAATTCTTTCCCAAAGTCCATGTTCAGAATGGTGTTTCCTAGGTTTTCTTCTCAGATTCTTATTGTTGAGGTCTTAAATTTAAATTTTTAATTCATCTTGAGTTAATTGTTGTATACGGTGAGAGGTAGGAGTCTACTTTCATTCTTCCACATATACACCTAGCCAAATGCTCACTTTTCAATCCCATTTAATCCTTTTTTGTTGCTGAAATTTGGCTAGTAAATTTCTGTCTTCCCAGATGTCATTCAGTGTTTCAAGGAAACTAGGTGGAAAGCACTGCATTTAGGGTTGTTTCTTTTTTTTGCCAAATTAGTTCAAAATATCAATGATTTCTTTTTTAGCCACAAGCCCTTTAAAATGATTTTTCTAGGTGATAAACCACTTTTAGCAACAAAATCACTGAGTCAGAGAAATACTCCCACAAATTCATTGCCAAATATTTTTTCTGCAGAATGAACTTCTTTCAAAAAGCAATTACTTTCTCACTCATTACAAAAACATCAATTTTACCTTGAAAGAGAATATTTAGTGTGGTCTTTTTTGGTTAATGCTGGGCAGAATACTACTGACAGCCTTTGTCATCACAGGAAAGATCAACAAGTTAGGAATGCTTGTCTTTTTGTAAAGATAATTATATGTCACCTTTAAATTTATCAGCCCTTTGTAAAGTATCTGCAATAAGATATTTAGTGGTATTCTGAGTGACGTAAGGTTTTAAAAAATATATACTCCTATCTAATTAGAAAATAGTGTGAAGATATTTCAAAGTTCTTGTTTTAATAAGGTCTAACCTCATCTATGTTATTCTATAGCACATAGTGCACCACTGGTTTTACCTTCCTGTTGCAAAAACTTGCCTATGAAGGATACAATGCAGCGCCATCTCTGCAATTTACCCTGGAATCTTTTTATGGTTTCAAAGTGCCTGTTCTAACAGTAGTTAATTTACAGTGTTCCTATAAACATTGTTATCAATAAATAAGTTAAATAGCTATTGACATTATATCTTCTCTGGTATATCTTTTATTTAATGACTCATACAAATCACTTGTGTATTTCATTATTGAAATGGAATCCAGCAAATACCATAAACTGAGAGGAATTGCAAACATTTGTTCTTTCATCCAACTGTATTGCAAACAGCACACATTGTGTAATTAAATTTGGTTTCTTAAATCTTCCAGGCACCTTCCAACAATATTTACTGACAAATAATTTAATTTGCCACCTTTTTGATTCCTATTTTTTAGCTATTTTTGAATCAAAAATTTCATTGCCTTATTTTTAAACATTTGCTAATTAATAAGAAACTTCAAAAGAAACATAAAGTTCAGTTGGTTAAAGTGCATTATTCTGAACATTGTTTCTAAAAAGTGCAGAGATTTGACATCATGTCATAGAAATTCACTGATAAATGTCTTGTTGATCATGGCATCTTCATACTATTATTTGCTAATATTTCAGGAAATAAAGTGTTGTATACTAAAGGCAAAGCTCTCTAAACAGGTAGTGGTTATAAGTACACATTTCAAATTGTCTTTAATAATTTAAATTTTTATTGGCTAGCTTCTTGGAAGATCTGATTAACTTATATTTTTTTTCTCATTTTCACTGCACCTATCTTATTAGTATTATTTTTAATGTAAGATTTTTACTATGGATCCATTTAGTAATGGCTAGTCTTAAAACCAAAAATCTATTTAAAGGTTGTGATACCCTGAAAGCAAATGCATGAGTGAGAGATCCTCTGTCAAGGCCTCTGCACCATAGTTTCTTACACTAATATGGTTTGGCTGTGTCCCTACCTGAATCTCATCTTGAATTGTAGTTCCCATAATCCTCACATGCCATGGAGGGACCCGGTGGGAAGTAATTGAATCATAAGGGCAGTTTCCCCCATGCTGTTCTCATGATAGCAAGTAAGTTCTCGCAAGGTCTGATGGTTTTATAAGGGGCTTTACCCTTTGCTCAGTTCTCATTTTTCTCCTTCCTGTCACCACGTGAAAAATGATGTGTTTACTTCCCCTTCTGCCATGATTGTATGTTTCCTGAGGCTTCCTCAGCCCTGCAGAACTGTGAGTCAATTAAACCTCTTTCCTTTCTAAAGTACCCAGTCTTGGACAGTTCTTTATAGCAGCAGGAGAACAGACTAATATAGTAAACTGGTACCACAGAGAGTTGGGTGCTGCTATAAAGATGCCTGAAAATATGGAAGCAACTTTGGAACTGGGTAAGAGGCAGAGTTTGGAACAGTTTGGAGGGCTCAGAAGAAGACAGAAAAATGTGGGAAAGTTTATAACTTTCTAGAGACTTGGAGGGCTCAGAGACAGGAATATAAGGGAAAGTTTGGAACTTCCTAGAGACTTGTTGAATTGCTTTGACCAAAATGCTGATAGTGATATGAACAATAAAGTCCTGGCTGAGGTGATCTCAGAGATGAGAAACTTGGAAACTGGAGTAACAGTCACTGTTGCTATACAAAGAGACTGATGGCATTTTGCCCCTGCCCTAGAGATCTGTGGAACATTGAACTTGAGAGAGATGATTTAGGATATATGGCAGAAGAAATTTCTAAGCAGCAAAGTGTTCAAGAGGAAGCACAGCATAAAAGTTTGGAAAATTTGCAGCCTGATGATGCAATAGAAAAGAAAAATCCATCTTCTGGGGAGAAATTCAAGGCTGCTGCAGAAATTTGCATAAGTAACGAGGAGCCAAATGTTAATCACCAAGATGATGGGGAAAATGTCAGAGATATTCCCAGCAGACCTTCCTATCACAGGCCTGGAGGCCTAGGAGAAAAAAATGGTTTTATGGGCCAGACCCAGGACCCCCCCTTCTGTGTGCAGCCTAGGGACTTGGTGCCCCATGTCCCAGCTGCTCCAGTCGTGGCTAAAAGGGGCCAAGGTACAGCTCAGGCCATGGCTTAAGAGGGTTTAAGCCCCAAGCCTTGGCCATTTTCATGCAGGGTTGAGCCTGCAGGTGCACAGAAGTCAAGAATTGAGGTTTGAGAACATTTGCCTAGATTTCAGAGTATGTATTGAAATGCTTGGATGTCCAGCAGAAGTTTGCTGCAGGACTGAAGCTCTCATGGATAACCTCTGCTAAGGCAGTGCAAAAGAGAAATATGGAGCTATAGCCCCCACACAGAGTCCACACTGGGGCACTGCCTAGTGGAGCTGTGAGAAGAGGCCCACCATTCTTCAGACCCCAGAATGGTAGATCCACTGACAGCTTGCACTGTGCTCCTGGAAAAGCTGCAGACACTCAATGTCAGCTGGTGAAAGTATCTGGGAGGAGGGCTACACCCTGCAAAGCCACAGGGGTGGAGGCTGCCTGAAGCTGTGAGAGCCCATCTCTTGCATCAGCATGATGTGAATGTGAGACATGAAGTCAAAGGAGATAATTTTGAAAGTTTAAGGTTTAATGACTGCCCTGTCGAATTTCAGACTTGCATGGGGCCTGTAGCCTCTTTGTTTTGGGCAATTTCTCCCATATGGAATGGCTGTATTTACCCAATGCCTGTACCCCCATTGTATCTAGGAAGTAACTAACTTGCTTTTGATTTTACAGGCTCATAGATGGAAGGGACTTGCCTTGTCTCATATGAGACTTTGGACTTGGATTTTTGAGTTAATAGTGGAATGAGCTAAGATTTTGGGGGACTGTTAGAAAGACCTGATTGTGTTTTGAAATGTGGGGACATGAGGTTTGGGAGGGGCCAGGGGTGGAATGATATGGTTTGGCTGTGACCCCACCCAAATCTCATCTTGAATTGTAGTTCTCAAGCCTCAGGCCTTGGCAGCTTCCACGAGGTATTGAGCCTGCAGGTACACAAAAGTCAAGAATTGAGGTTTGGGAACCTCTACCTAGATTTCAGAGGATATATAGAAATGCCTGGAGGTTCAGGCAGAAGTTTGCTGCAGGGGTGGAGCCATAATCCCCACATGTTATGGAAGGGACCCAGTGGGAGGTAATTGAATCCTGGGGGCAGTTTCCCCCATGCTAGTCTCATGATAGTGAGTAACTTCTCAGGAGACCTGATGGTTTTTATAAGGGCTTCCCATTTCATTCGGTTTTCATTTTTTTCCTGCTGCCATGTGAAGAAGGATGTGTTTGTTTCTCCTTCTGCCATGATGGTAAGTTTCCTGAGGCCTCCCCAGCCCTGTGGAACTGTGAGTTAATTCAACCTCTTTCCTTTCTAAATTACCCAGTCTCAGACAGTTCTTTACAGCAGCATGAGAATGGACTAATATATACTCCCTCTTGTACCATATCATATCATATGGGACAAACTAAGTGAAGATAGCAGCATCAGTATATACAATCATATTTTTGAACCCTAATTTTTTTATCATTTATGTGACAACCTAAATAGAAATAGAAGTGCTGATATTTTGTCCCTGCACCCAAGTGGATTATTTGAGAGCCCCCTGGAGTGAACCCAGGCCACTTTGGAGACTGATGGATTACAGCATTGGTTGTGACAACTGATGGTCTTTATATCTTTTGTTTTCTTTTAGAGACAAGGTCTCATTCTGTCACCCAGGCTGAAGTACGGTGGCACAATCATAGATCATTGTCACCTTGAACTTCTGGGCTTAAGCAACCCTCTAGCCTCAGCCTCCTGAGTAGCTGAGACTACAGGTACACACCAGCACACCCACCTAATTATTATTTTTTTATTTTTTGTAGATACAGAGGGTTTCCACTATGCTGTCCAGGCTGGTCTTGAACTTCTGGGCTCAAGCAATCCTCTGAGTTGGGCTCCCAAAGTGCTAGGATCACAGGTATGAGCCACCGTGTCCATCCCTGGTCTTTATTTCTCTCCCCAGGTGCTATTGCAGTTGTCTTGTGATTCTGAACAAGATATCCTAATCTTTCTGAGAAAAGCCTAACAATCATCAATACATAGAGTTAATACATGTTATTCTGGATTTCACTCTTTGAAGGTCCTGGGCTGCTGGTATTTGCAATGGCTCAAGGATGGGGCTATTCAGAAAAAAAAAAAAATAAAGATGTCTTCAAAAGAGAGATGCTGCCTCTCTGAGACTCCCCCTTCATCTACACAGAGGAACATAACTGTTCTTCTCTTCCACTTCCTTCTTTTCCACTGTGACACACACGGGCTACCCTTTTGTGACTCATCACTTTCATAGTTGTCTTGATATAAATTTAAAATCTGACTTCGTCTAGGTAAATACATTTTATCCAGGATGAAATGTCTTATCTATTATCTATCTATGTATCTATCTATCTGTCATCCATGTGTCTATCTAGTGTGTGGGGGGGTTAGGGGGTGGAAGATTATGTATCCAGGACTTGCAGTGGGAGAATAAGACAGAGTGAGTGGACTGATATCAGGCTTTCTTAGAAGGAGGAGCAATGGTTCCCTGACATTTCCCTCCTCACTTCTTATAAACGTATTTTCTGTACCTGCATGCTTGAGGGTGGTCATTCTTAAACTTCAGCAGCATGAGAGTTACTGGAGATTTTGTAAAAACACAGATTGCTGCACTCCACCCCCAGAATTTTTGATTCAGCGAGATTAGGGTAAAACATAAGACTTTGTTTTTGTAAGAAGTTCCCAGGTGATGCTGATGATGCTGGTGCACCTTGAGAACCGCCACTTAAGGGCTAATGGGAAAGAGACAAACAGGTTTACAAGACTCCAGGCTGGAAGCCAGAATTTGTTTTAGCTGATGGGTAAGGAGTCACCTTGCCCTTCCTGGGTGAGAAATATGGAGGACTGCCTGTGCCAAACAAAGATAGCCACTGTTGGCAGGCTCTTTCAGATGCTTAAAGTGGCTCTGAGAGGAGTGTCACAGTCAAACTTCCCTTTCAGATACCAACAGACATAGCACATCAATACATCTTGGGAAATTGTTCAGAGAAACTTTTATTCACTGTCACCTAGGTGCAGATAATACAGTTTGTGCTGAATTTTTATATTGTTCTTATTTCATATCTGATATGTATTTTATGCCGTTTTAATTGCTTCCTCTTTATATTGTAAATCTCATTAGGAGAAGTGACTCTGCTTGAATTTTAAAAACTATACTGCATAACTACCTGTACTACCTATAATCCTTATTGTTTAATACTTCTAAGTACTCACTTTTATCATGATGGCAATTGATTAAACCTTACAGGGTCTCATGTTTACTTATGGTTCCTCCACACTGAGAATATAAATTACAGATCTTTGAATAGAAAGGGCAGACATGTAAAAAAATCAGTACTGATATTATAAAAGAGAGTTATTTGATGCTGACAAGATTATCTCAATGCTACATCTATTATTTGGGCTCACTCAGAACTAGAGTCAACTTTATCCTAACTTTGGCAGCTAAAATGAGTTACCATCAGAGGATACTTTCTCTCAAATGTTGCCTAAAGTTAACTCACTGAAAATGAGCCATGAGCAATTTGAACTCAATCTTGAAAACCAAGTTTTTTTCTGAATGATGTTATTATTATGGAAAAGACTGTGTGGGGCACCATAATCTCTGCTGTAAATATTCTGTCTGTCATGACGAGAGGTGTTACGCTAGTCATGAAATACTGCAAATTGCTTGCAGCTGTTCCTCCTGCTCCCACCTTGCATTACAAAGTGGCCTCTGGAAACAAAAGACTATTTTGATGTCCGGGAAGGGTTAAATGCTGCTGCTTTGACATCTGCAGGGATCTTACCATGCTAGATTATATTACTGGCCCCAATTCTTTACCACTCCTGGTACTCACTTTGCCATGTAACTTTTCAATGTTCTCTAACTATGGGAGGAGTGTCCTTGTATCTTAATTTGGGGCTTCATGTGTGATTTGTTTAGGCTAAGAGAATGAGGCAGAAGTGAGAGTGTGCCAGTTCTGAGCCTAGGCCTCAATAGGGCTTATATGTTTCTGTTTGTCCTTTCGTACCTCCGATTGCCATGAGAAGAACATACCTGGGTTAGCCTGCTAGACGAAAATAAGAAAATAAGAAGCATATAGACTAGAGTTTCCCTTGCCAAGTTGAACCTAGCTTGAAGCAGAGCCCCTATTCCATCCTCAGATGGAAAAGGGGAAGGAAGCCAAGCCTAGATTAGCTGATTCCAGCTAACCTATAGATGTATGAGCAAGCATCCCTGCAATCAGCAGAGATACCCAGATGAGCCAAGCCTAGATCAGACAATCTCTGGCCAACCCACAGGTGCATAAGCTATCACAATAGCTATGGGAGTAAGTTTTGGGGGTGGTTTGTTATGCAGCTGTAACTGTTACACTTACTGATGCCAAATAGGTAGGCAAAAATCCGACATAGAAGGAAATATAAATTGATAGTGAAGAGAGCTAAAAGCTCTCTGTGTAAAAGATGCTTTTCTGTGTAAAAGATACTTCAGTTGAAAAAGAAATGCGATTTTTAGAAAGGATGAAAAGAAAATATTTAGAGAGGTCACATTCAAATACACAAGGATAAACTGAAGGAAGATAATAGTCATGTCATGTCATGTTATTTGTACAAATACGTGCAGAACAATTGGACAGTGGATGGTGGAAGAAATGCTGTCTGCTGTCTGAAGGATGCTGAAAAACTCTTAATCTTCCCATTTCATGATTAGGCTAACTTTTGGAAATGAGGCTACTCTAGGAGCTAGAAGCCAAATATATTGAAAAATGTACTTGTTTTGCAGTGTAGCTTAAAATAGTAACTCATTGATTCAACCCAATGCCTTCTAATTTCTAGGCATTAAATGTTCATAAAATGGTTATCATTGAAGGCATTTCGTTCAGATAAAATAAAACTTAATCTTAAATCCACTGATTTTAAGATGATTTGCATGGCACTCTGATAAATGCTTTTAATACAAGATAAATTGTTGGAAATGTGGGAGCTTTTGTTTATTTATTTATTTATTCAATGTGGATAACATAAAGAAAAACACGAGGCAATAGAATCAACATGCCAAAAAAATGGCTAACATTTATTTGGTTTCTTCTTAATTTTTATTGTACTTTGACATATGTTATTTATAACAATATTATAGAAGAAATGATTATCCTTATGTTACAGATAAAATACCTGAGGGTCAGGGAATTTAGATAACTTGAAATACAGTTACTTCTGGCTCTAAATCCAAGTAGTGATAGGCAAATTAGCATTTCCTTTTCAGTATATTGGGTATATTCAGTATATTGGGAACAGAAACAAAGTTTGAGGAAGTTCTTCAATCTAATTATAGAAGTTCAAATTGAAGTACTACTATTCTAACATAGTGTAAGAGAATTCTATAAGCCTTGAAATAACATACATTAGATATGATCAGGTCTTCGGAGAAAATTCTTTATATAGTTCTAAGAAAGCTAAAAGTTTATCATATCTTTAGAGTGCTATGCTGAATAAAGCCTGAGAGTTTAAATCTGTGTTGTTTCATTTTGGTACTTAGTCATACACTGCTTTTTTCAATACATGTCATGATGTGTCATCTACACATTTGAGTATTCCACTTTTATATTCCCTAAATGCCTTGGATGGAGCCAGATGTAAAAGAGATGATAAAAATCTTCTTGGGTTTTTTAACTAATGTATGTTTTCATTTTTTTCAAGATAACTTATTTTAAAGGATGCCTGGCTTATGGCAGGTGAGAAATAAATATTTGTTAAATAAATATACCTATCCATGTTAAAAGGCAACTAGCTAATAGCAATAAGTCAATCCATGTGATAAAAATAGACTATTATTTTCCTAGGTGCCTCACATATATCATCTTGATTCATCTTTATCATAATACCACACAGTAAGCATTTTTCCCTATTTGCAGATAAGGAAAATGAGGCTCAGAGAGATAAAGTAATTTGACCAAGTTCACATAGCCCATAAGTGGCCAAAGCATTGTTCGTACTCAGGTTTAAAAGACCAGAAACCTAACATCATTTGTATTTGTCTTTAGGTCCTTTATCAACACATCAAGACATCTGAGCTTTTTCCTTATCGTCATCTCTGTAATAATGAAGAATATATAATGAATGGTAAAATTCAGGTTTTAATGTGTTCTTTTATTAACCTGAAGCAGACCTTGCAGATAAGCCAGAGATTTTTAAGTCTGAGTATAAGTTGATGGCTGTTTCCACCATCTCCTACTCTTCAAGCCCTCAGGCTTGAAGTTTCTTGGTGTTTGTTCATGAACATGCATTCTGATGAAATGCAGAGCATTCTAAAATACTTGGCTTGCTAGTGGATCTTTAGAGATTTTCCAACAGCTGAGTGTTCAGGACAAACCTTCCCCCTTCACACCTCCTTAGGATCTCACACTTTCAGATCAGTCCAACATGTGGGATGGTGAAGGTAGATAAGATAGGAGGACAACAATGGAAGAATCCAACCTCAGAGGCTCTTACAACAGAGATCAAGCTGGTGTGCACAGTTGCTGAGCTGAGATTCAATGTGAAATATTGGATGTTCTCCAGCTATTTTAGTGACTTCCTCCTTGAGCTTTCAATCTCTTTGTCTTCCCTTTGGATTCTTGCAAAGAAGGAAAAGGGCAGCTCAGAGATATCCTTTCATTTTCCTCAAGACTCTATATTCCACTTCTTAGAAAAAAAGCCAAATAAATAGGAAGGAAGTTTGGTCTGAAACCACCAAATAAAAATTGACACAAGAATACTGGCTCTGTGTTTTTATACCTATATTGCAGTCATCCAACCAGTCAATAATAATTTCTCAAATCTGCCTTGGCCAGGTGTAACACTTTTGCTTTACAATACACTTCCCTCTTGATGTCATGCTGCCTCCTCTTTGGCATTTTACTAGATCTTGTGGGGCTCTGCCAAGGGCACCAGACAGGCTTTCTGTCAGGAGTTTTTCCAGGCTAAGAGCCAAATATGTGGCTTGGAGTTTTCCAGAACCTCCTTAACTGTTCTTTTCAGCCCTGATCATTTATGGTAGAGGCAGGAGGGTGCAGGACACAATGGATTATGTCATTGGGTGGTTTGTGGACTCTTTGTTAGTAGGCAACATAAAGAAATCTGTAAGAAGGATGTGAGCTGTCAATACCAGGATGCAAGTTATAAGGAAGGAAGATTTTAAGAATGTGGTAATGAGAAATATCGGCCAATCCGATCTGTCCTTACCAAAGGAAGGAAAAAAATCCTCTAGTTTGGTAATGTGAAAGTTCCAATTGCAACCAGCAATCTCCTGATATTTGATTCTCTATGATCATTGTGGCTTTCCCATAGTGTGAAGTTGGCTAGACTTGCATTGTAACACAGACATCCCACTGGAACTCTCAGGCCCAAGATGGAAAGCTGAGCTGCCTATCAGTAAGCAATACTTTTTAAATCTTGGAACCTTTTCATCATGATGTCATTTGGTTTCGCAGCTCAGATTGCTTCCTAGCTGATATTCTTTCCATCCAGAGTAGCAATGTGTGCCTTGTGGCGCTTTGAAAATGCCTCAAGACTTTCACTCTACTTTTACTTATAAATAGACTTCCACTCCATCTAAATCAATTTCAGATTAAATTACACTTTATTAGTCTCTGAAATATTACCATAAATTGGAATTTAAAATAAGCTGCAATGAGACCAAACTCAGTTGACACAAAAATATTAGGCAGCTAACATATTGATTGACAATTTGTATTTTTAAATGTTTTTATTAAAATTCCTTTAATCTAGCTCTTGAGTTAATTTGTTTTGGTTTCCACATTGTATTTTTTATTTAGGGAGGTTGGGAGATCGTTATCCTTTGCACTCTGTGGGACTATTGATTTGAATTTTGATTTGTCCTGTTTATCCATAGGATACCTGAAATTGGCAGTTTAGATGGCAAAGCATAGTTCAAAAGTAAACAAGATGCCTCAGGTAAACACAATGCCTAATTTGTTCATAGATTACTTAAATTCTGTTACCTTTAACTGCGTAAAGACAGAGAGTGCCTTTAGCAAGATGAGCCATTGCTTTATTTTTAAAGCTCGCTTATGTCAACGCTTCCTATCCATGACTAGGTTGGCCACCATTATTCAGGGGTGAGATCAGACTTCTTTTCTTTCCTAGAGCTGCTTGCCATTTTCCCAACACCTGCCTTGCAAGTGACAGCTCTGTGGGTGTCCTCATAAATTACAAATCATGTGCCTTGGTTCTGATGCCTTGGGACAAGCACAAAGTTAGAAACTGTCCTGTAACTTTAGAACTGTAGCTGCAGGATGGGACAGCTGAGTAGAGAACAGAGATGCGCATCAGCAGGGGTCCTATTAAGACTCTTATCAGGCTGCCTGCCTGATGCTGGTGGACAATTTGTACCACTGGAAACTGAGTGTAGGTTGTAAGTTGGCAGGGGGAAGAACGGATGTATGTAAGATGGAGGGTTTTTTTTTTTTCTTTTTAGGATCATCTTTAGGACTATCTTCGTATGGTAAAAATAAGCTCCCTCATGCCTGTAATCCCAGCACTTTGGGAGGCCGAGGCGGGTGGATCACGAGGTCAGGAGATTGAGACCATCCTGGCTAACACAGTGAAACCTCGTCTCTACTGAAAAAATAAAAAAATACAAAAAATTAGTCAGGCATGGTGGCGGGCGCCTGTAGTCCCAGCTACTCGGGAGGCTGAAGCAGGAGAATGGCGTGAACCCGGGAGGCGGAGCATGCAGTGAGCCGAGATCACACCACTGCACTCCAACCTGGGTGGCAGAGCGAGACACTGTCTCAAAAATAAAATAAAATAAAATAAAATAAAATAATCTCCCATTCAGCATTCTCACTTTGTTTAAAAACTTTTATTGAAGTTTTTAAGACTGTTTCATGGATTCCATTACAAAGGCTTGAAGTAAATATAAAAACAGCAGAAGAATGTAAATGTATATAATGAGTTACTTTCTCTCCAAATCATCTACCCTAGATGTGTTACAGTGCTATTATAGCTAATAGCCTAATAAGGAAACCTGTAGGTTAGCTATGACTGTGTAAAAAATCACTCCAAAAACTTAGTAACTTAAGAACAATTTCCTATTTTCCATTGGGTAAGCAGGCCTGATGGGCAGTTCTGCTAGCCTGGTCTGCAATCAGTTGAACTCACTCAAGAGTCTATGGTTGGCAGCAGCTCTACAAGGCAGCACTGCAAATCTTGGCTGAATTCTCTCACATAACTGGGGCTTCAGCTGGGATAATTGGGCAGCCTTGCTCTCTGTTCCATGTTTCATCCTCTAGCAAACTGTCCTGAGCATATTATAATGATGAAAACATAGGAACGGGAGGAGAATAAAAAATGTGCATTTTTTTAAAAGTCTGTGCTCATGTCAAGTTTGCTACTGTCCCACTGGCTGATGCATGTCATGTGGCGAATCCCAGAGTTACTGTGGGAGGAGACAGACTAACAATAATTGTGGACACATGGAGACATGAAAAATTGGGGCCGTACATGCAATGAACACATGACAAGAAGGAGAATTGTTCCATCTGAATTATTGATGCAATAGGCATGATTAGGGTTTATTTTGAAGTATTTTATTATGGTCTGTTTCTTTGAAAATCAGTCATCCAAAATCAATTAAAAATTAATTTTCAGATGAAAAGAATGCTGATAATTTAATGTAGATAATGAGATTAAAATACTTTGCTCCTTATAACACTGAGAAACCTTCAAGTGAGTAAACTTTTGGACTCACCAAGAGATATGGAGGCATCTGAAAGATTTCTTTCCATCCCCTCTCCCCACCAACCTGCTAGATGATATTCCTTCACCTTGAATAAGTTTATTTATAGTATTAGGACTAAGACACAAAAGTCATGTCTTCGAAATTCTTTGGCTGTATTACAACAGGAGATCCTGATATTTCTAGTTTTAAATGAGTAGATAGTTAGAAGGAGGATTAGGAGACTTTCATTTCTTCCCTGCTCCTGAAATACGTGGTTTCCATGGATTGAGGCTGCAGTTGACCTACACTGATATATAGTAGTACATTCCTAGGATAAATTAGGTGCTTTGCTAATACTATGCATAGCAAGAAAAAAAGCTAGTCAAGTTTCCTTATATATGGGTTTTGCCAGGTGTCCACTTTGGTCATGAAGATATAGGATTTTCTCTTTTGCCTCCTGCTGGAGTGGAACTAAGACTCAGGGCCACACAGGCAGGTATGCACTATGTTCTGATTTAAAACCAAACATCATCTTATTTTCCAAGACAGAGCAAAATCATTCATGGCCTTGATGAGCTCCACCTTCTCTGTTTCTGACCTTCTTCTGTAGTAGAGGCAATTCTAGGAAAAGGAAATCCAGTTAGAACTAGCGTGTGTGTGTGTGTGTGTGTGTGTGTGTGTGCGCGCGCGCGCGCGTGTGCGAGCGCCCACGCGTGTGCATGCGTTTGTGTGTTTCTTTCTTTTCTTTCCTCTCTCTCTCTCTTTTTTTTAACCAGCAATAACTTTGTCCTGGGAACCTGGAAGTTGGGTAACAGTTTGTTTAGTTGTTCTCAACGTGTGAGCCAGCAGCATCAGAATCACCAGGGAACTTGCTGTAATTGCAAATCCTGGGATCCCCACTCCATACCCACTCAATCAGAAACTCTGGAGGTGGGTTTCAGTGACCTGTTCTGACAAACCCTACAGGTGATTCTGATGCATGCTAAACTTTGAGAACCACACACTTGAGCTTCTAGAGCTATGCTACCCAAAAATGATAGCCAGTAGCTAAGTGTAGCTATTTAAATTTAAATGACTTAAATAAAATGGAAAATTCAGTTCTTCATTACACTATCCATATTTCAAGTGCTCATTAACTACGTGTCTAGGGGTTACTTTATTGTCTGGCAGAACTATAGAGAATTTTATTCATCATTGCAGTAAGTTATATTGCATGCTTTCATAGTGTTTCCTTCCTCTAGCTAACTTTCTGGGACTCAACATCCTCCAAATAACTCTCTCTAGAGTGTCTCACATTATGATGGGGCAGGGCCTTGGCTTTCCTAAACTCAGGGGTCTTTTATTATCTTCAGACATCTGAAGGCATCTTGGACATATTGAGGACTTCCTTTCTTCCTTGTGTATCTCCTTTTTGCTATTTGTCCCTTGAGGCTGGAGGTGGAAATCAGGCAGCCCAGTGGCTACATCCCACTCACAGATGTTTCAATTGGCACATTAAAAATTGGGATATTTTACATTAAAATTAAAAAATTTCCATTCCTCTTGAAATAATTGGAGCATCTGGCAACCTACATTCCTCCTGGCTGTAATCTGCTGTGTATGTAAGAAGCTTTCTCCTTTAGTCAGGCAGGAACACTCAAGTTTGCTGCAGGCCTCACTTGCTTAATTTCACTCATTCATGTTCTCTGCCTAACTTCCCATGTGAATTTGAGTAGGATGCTATAGGCTTCTCACCCTCTCTTCCCTAGTTTCTCATTCTAACAGCCATTGGGATTTTCAGTATCTCTAAAAGACAGTTCTTGACAAGCACTCTGATGACAGAATGATCTGTAGTTCCTTGATGCAATAGGCTTTTAATTTTTAAATTTAATTTAATTTATTTTATTTCTTGAGACTAGGTCTTGCTGTGCCTGCCAGGCTGGAGTGCAGTGGTGTAGTCCCAGCTCACTGGAGCCAGCACCTTCCTGCTCAAGCAATCCTCCCACCTCAGCCTCCTGAGTAGCTGGAACTACAGGCCTGTGCTACTTTTCCTTTCTTTTGTATTTTTTGTAGAGATGGGATCTTGCTATCTTGCCCAGGCTGGTCACAAACTCCTGGGCTCAAGTGATCCACCTCTCTTAGCCTCCCAAAGTGCTAGGATTACAGTCATGAGCCTCTGTGCCCCGTGCAATAGGTTTTTAAAAGAAAACTTTTATCAGGCCCTCTAAAGTAACAGAAAGAAGTGAACCAGAAAAACAAAAATGATAAATTCACAGATGATTTCTCACTTCTGAGGCAGGATCCAGGACCATAACTCCCTCTTGACTCAAAGCAAGCCTTGCTCAGTTAATGACAGAGCTTGTAAGTCTTCTGGAAGGGCTTGCCTCAGACATCAAGAGCATTTTACAAAAACAGCAGAATATTCTTCCTAGGCCCCCACAGAGAGCAGAGAAAACTGACAGAGATATATGTAATGCCAATCGAAATCTTTTATTACAAGAAAAAGAAGCTGGAGCTATTTTTCTTATGAAAGACTACATTTTACTGAAATAACTGTTTTATGAATTGCAGAACTTTCTTTTTACTGAGGATCTCTCTGAAGTCAGTCTTTATTCCAGATTGATTACATCAACATTCACTCATGGGAATTATTAAACTTTGCTGGAATTTCATTCTCTTCTCTAAGATTAGAGAGAGCATCGATGGCTGACATAGCATCACATGAGGAAAACTTACCTGAGTATAAACTGGTCAGTGAGGTTTGAAAAGCAAAGATTCTATCAGCATTATAGAGGCTTATTTACCCAGATTCACAAGCCAAGGTTGACTATATTAATTGTGGCTGTCTTTGGCTAACTAGGTCTTGTAATGCTTTTTTTTATATACTCTTAATGAAAACCTGAATGTTAAATGGAACACCAAATTGAGTAAAAGAGAAAAAAGAATTGTAAAATATAATAACTCACAAATATTTTCCTAGAGAGATAAGTTAAGAACCTTGTCTTTCTTGACCAAGTTTGGGAGAAAAGGAATGGGAAAATCGTCCCTCCAGTATAGCTTTCTCTAAAATCCAGATCTGATCATATCACTTACCCACTCCAAACCATGTAATGACTCCTGCTGTCACTGGGATAAAATTTAGTTTATATTCTTCAGTCTCTTCCAGTTTTGTCCCAACTTGCCTTTCCAGTTTCATTCATTACTGTGTTTTTGGGCACGTCATACCCCAAGTCACACTGGCATACACATTTCTCTCCGAACCCTCTTGTCATTATGTGTTTTAGTGTGTACTATTTTTTCTGTCTGGAATAAATATTTTTATTTTTCTCTTAAAATTTTGTTTATCCTTGTGATGATTAATACTGTCAACTTGATTGGATTGAAGGATACAGAGTATTGATCCTGAGTGTGTCTGTGAAGGTGTTGCCAAAGGAGATTAACATTTGTATCAGTGGGCTGGGAAAGGCAGACCCACTCTTAATCTGTGTGGGCACAATCTAATCAGCTGTCAGCATGACTAGAGTAAAAGCAGGCAGAAGAATGCGAAAAGAGAGACTGGCCTAGCCTCCCAACCCACATCTTTCTCCCTCAAACATTGAGAGAGCTAGGTATAATGTGGTTAGTATCCTAACATGTGTTATATTTTATTCAGCCAGCATCCATTCCACATCCTCCCACTCCCAATTTCCATTTAAAAAATTACCCATCCCATTTTATATCATCATTGCGGGATAGTGTATCTAGGTGTTTGCCACCCTAGAATAAAATCCAAAGGAGTTCTAGATCCCATCTCTACCAGGTTCTACCTCTTGTCAATACAAATCAGCATAAGAGTAGGAATGAGACCTAAGCTTGACCAGCCAATAGGTAATTATAGTCATTAGAGTTTTGGTGTTCTTCAGTTTTGGAACTCGGACTGGCTCTCCTTGCTCCTCAACCTGCAGACGGCCTATTGTGGGACCTTGTGATCATGTGAGTTAATACTTAATAAACTCCCCTTTATATATATATATACACACACACACACATATACGTATGTATGTATATATGTATATACATACATACGTATATGCATGTATATGTATATGTATGTATACATATACATACATACGTATATACATGTATATATGTATATATGTATACATATACATACGTATATACATGTATATACGTATATATGTATACATATACATACGTATATACATATGTATTTATATACATACGTATATACATATGTATTTATATACATATATGTGTGTGTATTCCATTATATATGTATTCCATTATATGTATATTCCATATAATATATATAATATATAATATTCCATATATATTCCATATATTGTATATATCAAATATACAATATATATGGAAAATATATATATATATTCATTCCATTAGTTCTGTCCCCCTGGAGAACCCTGACTAATAAATCCTTCAGTACCTATTGCAGACTATCTCCTTGGTGAAGCTCCTCATCTTTGCAGGCAAAATTGATCCTATTTACATTTGGGCTCCAATATTGCCTTGAGTATATGTCTTTTAGCATTTATACTCTTTTGCAACTGTGGACATGTATGTCTCCACTATTTGACTATGAGCTTGCTGAGGGAAGGGTCTTTGCTTTATTCATCCTTAATGCCTATCTTTTGTCCTGGAACATAGCAAGAACACATTAAGTGTTTGGAAAGATGATGATTATAAATATTAATCCCCAAATACATTAAGTATGTACATATGTGCACATACATACATATAAATATACATTTATATTGTTTCTTCTACTTTTAAATATTTTATGGGAAATAATGTTCCATTCTTTTTTTTCTTCAACTTTTATTTTAAGTTCAGGGGTACATGTACAGGATATGCAGATTTGTTAACAAAGGTAAACATGTGCGATAGTGGTTTGCTGCACAGATCATGCCATCACCTAGGTATTAAGCCCAGCATCAGTTATCTGTTCTTCCTGATGTTCTCCCTCCACTTGCCCCAACAGGCTCCAATGCATGTTTTTCTCTGCAATGTGCCCACGTATTCTCATTGTTCAGCTCTAACTTATAAGGGAGAACATGCAGTGTTTGGTTTTCTGTTCCTGAATTAGTTTGATGAGAATAATGGCTTCCAGCTCCATCCAAGTCACTGCAAAGGACTTGTCCCTTTTTATGGCTGCATAGTATTCCATGGTGTATATGTACCACATTTTCTTTATCCAGTCTATCATTTGGGTTGATTCCACATCTTTGCTATTGTGAACAGTGCTGCAATGAACATATGTGTTCATGTATCTTTACAATAGAATGATTTATATTCCTTTGTTATATACACAGTAATGGGATTGCTGGGTCAAATGGTATTTCTGCCTCTAGGTATTTGAGGAATCACCACACTGTCTTCCACAATGGTTGAACTCATTTACACTCCCAAAAACAGTGTAAAAGCATTCCTTTTTTTTTCCGCAACCTTGCTGGCATCTATTGGTTTTGACGTTTAATAATGGCCATTCTGACAGTCAAGAGATGGTATCTCATTGTGGTTTTGATTTGTATTTCTCTAATGAACAGTGATATGGAGCTTATTTTTCATATGTTTATTAGTTACATGTATGTCTTTTTTTGGGAAGTGTCTGTTTATATCCTTTGCTCACTTTTTAATGGGTTTTTTTTTCTTGTAAATTTAAGTTCCTTGTAGATCTTTGTAAGATGGATCGATTGCAAACATTTTCTCCCATTCTGTAGGTGTTCCACGCTGTTCAGTGATGTGACTGAAAATAAATACCATGTCTGTATAATTTTCTATGTGCACTAATTGAAAAGTATGTTATATAGTGTGGATTCTTATATTAGTTGGCTATTGTTCCTTAACAGAACACTCCAGAACTTAGGGGCTTAAAGCAATGATGATTTAATATTTCTTCTAAATCTACAGTTTGTCTGAAGAGTTCTGCTGATCCTGGCTGGCCTTGCTTATGATTCTGCTGATTGGTTGGTTGGGGCCGACTGCCCTGTGGATTTGTCTAGGATGACTTTGCACTACTTCAGGCAGTTTCATGTGAGTCTAACTTTGTTTTTGTGGTGCTAGCAGGTGGCCAAAGAGGAAATATGCAAGTGATTTTCAAACCTCTGCTTGCATTGCGTTTGTACTTTCTCATGGCTAAAGCAAATACTGGCCAAGCTACTACTAAGTAGTTATTAATGGCACTACTAAGAGATGTGGATACAAATGTGTATAAAAATAATGCAATCCATCACAATGCTTAATAAATATATAAAGATAATTATATTTTAATGTTGAAATACAGTAAATAGAAGATACTTTTCCCCTAAGGCCTAGTATAATCTCGATCCAGTTTAGTGACTTCTAACTTCTGTTTTCTCTCATCTGTAAGAAATAATAATACCCACTACACAGAATTTCTATGAGAATCACCTGAAATAATTAATACGCAGTCCTTGGCATGAAGCTGTCCTCAACATTCATTTGTCCCCTTTTTTCTACCCTCCTCTTCTCTCTAGTCTCCTGTGTAAGCACCCTCAGTTTTTCACTGTCTGACCATGTTACACGAGCCTACTAAGAAATATTTCAGTGGTAGAATAGATGTCTTTCTGAGATGAATTAACTGACTTAGACATACAGAAGTAGAGTCACCTTGAAATGTCTTGAAAAGAAATTCTTATATTGTATAACATCAGTGAAAAGCACAATTCAACATTATTACATATTGCAGTCTTTGCCAGGAGTTGTGGGCACAATCTGATCCCACGTATTTTGTTTTATGTGAAGATGTTGCTTAGTAACCTTGTGTTAAGGGAAAATGGACAAGGAAGCTATCTCAGGCATTTCCAACTCAGGTCAGCACCATTATATGCTTGGTATAAAATTGGGAAATTTTACTCAAGGTCAATGGATTCAACATTTTCCCTTCGTTCTAGCCTTTTTCTCTGCAATACAAGATTTAAACTTGAAATATTAGCTACAGAGCAAGTCTAAATCATCATTAAATTTAGGTTGGATAGTTACTGTTCTTTAGTATCTTATACTTGACACATAATAAATACTCAAAATGAGTGAATATTGATTTCTTAAAATTTAATACCTGTTACAGAAAGTCTAGTTAAAAGATTTAGACCAAAAGTCAAAGATGTAATGACATCTGCATATTTGTTAATGAAAGGATACTAATAATCCATTCAGCATTTTTTCAAATTTATTAATAAATAATACTGTTATTGAGAGTTTCATGAATTTATTTCAATTATATTTTTATTGAGTGCCTTTTAAATGTCAAATATTGTGCTGGGCACTGGGTATGCCAAAGCACAAATTGCCTTATTGTACAGGTCAGTGAAAAGCACTGATAATGGGCCCTGTGGCAACAGTGAACCAGAAAACCCCAAATTCATGATGACTATCTTGGGTGTCATGATTGTCTTATGTACTCTGTTCATGGATTCAGTCTCTGCCACAGGCCTGGAGTCAGCCAGCAATTATTTTGAAATAGGAGAATGGTTAATAGCTAATGGGTGCATGGTTTTACTCCAAAACCCTAATGACTGCAATTACCCATTGGCTGGTCAAGCTTGGGTCTCATTCCTACTCTTATGCTGATTTGTGTTGACAAGAGATGGAACCTGGTAGAGATGGGATCTAGGACTCCTTTGGATTTTGTTCTGGGATGGCAAACACCTAGATTCACTATCCCACAATGATGATATAAAATGGGATGGGTACTTGTTTAAATGGAAATCGGGAGTGGGAGGATGTGGAATGGATGCTGTCTGAGTAAAATATAACACATGTTAGGATACCAACCACATTATACTTAGCTAGCTCAATGATTTCACGATGTTTGTGCCTGTTAGAATATTATTCCCTCTTTCAATGTTACAGATAAAAAAATCTACTCACCCTTTTAGAGCTTCTCAAATGTCACTTTTTTCCTTGATAATCCTACAGCTTTTCTGAAATAAAATAAGAAATCAATCTCAAAAGGAATTTTAGAAAGAGTTAAGATGATTTTGGTGGATTTTGCTTGTTTCTCTGAAAACCGAAAGAACTTACTCAGTAAAAATTGCTCTTGTCTCACTATTGTTCAGTCTCTTTGAGACTAACTTCAGGCAATTATCAAAAATGTAAGCAACTTTCTGTTAAGTCAGCCATTTCATCACCTATGAGGATTAGCACTGCAATACATGTTTGTGCTTAAATACCTCTTAAAAGGTTTTGAAAAATAATGAGCCTTAAAATATTTATAATTTAATTAATAAATTAGTAAATTCATAAATTCATAAAGGTTAAGTATTTACAGTGAACTTATTAACTTGTGTATTGAAAATATAAACACTTATTAATAAAACTGTTATAACCATGATTGAAAGTATTTTATTTATAATACTCTCGCACCTTTTTGGGGAAAAACGTATACAAATTTTTAAAAAACCAAGTATTTCCTTGAAGAGAGAAATGTTGATACTCTTCTCTGTGTTTTTAATGATATTTTGTTCTGATTTTATGTTTTCAATAGCTTTGTTAATTTCCCTGGGGATACTGAAGCTTTACTTAATCCTATTCTTTTTCAGTAAGGGAGAGAATTCCTGTTTCAAGTCTCTACCAAATAAAATCTCTTCTCTTGCGAGAGTAGAAAAGGACAGATACTAGGATGTTTCGTTGGCAAGGCAGGGACTGAGTCCAAATGCTACTGACACAAATATTTAACCAAATTCTTCCATTTTCAACTCCACCACTCACTGTGGTGATTTTATCAGTCTTTGAAGCCCAGAAATTTTCATGGGCTTACAGTCCACCTGCCTCCCACTCTCAGCGCCTCAGTTAGCTTTCTCAACTCTGATAAGACAGTGGGGACTTTTACACCTATTTTCGATCTAAGTGTCTTAACTATTCATATGTAGGAATTAATGTTTTAAATACCTCTTATTGTTCTTTTATTGTTATTCTAGTGGAGTTTAGTGACAGACCAGGGATTTTATATATATATGCACTGTAATACAGACATATATATATACACATAGGCATTGTAATACAGATATACATATATATGTGTGTGTATATATATGTATATGCACACACAGAGAGAGAGAAAGAGAGAGAGAGAGAAGAGAGAAAGGGCCTTGCCCTGGTCAGGGACTTCTCATATTGTCTGAATTATACATCAGAGAGATACTGGACCTCTTTGATCCCTATGACCTAGTGAACACAAATACTGGGATGACTTCTATGATATTAGAGAACAATTTCATTTTTCTCTTATCATTCTCAAAAATTAAATATTTGAATTGATTACCTTTTCCTTGATTTTAATTATTTCTGTATGTTTTCCATAGAAATGCTAATCTGTTTTGTGGATAATTTTTCTATGTGGCTTAGGGCTAAGTGGTCCCCTATATTTTTTACCAGGTGGGAAAGTCAACATAGATGACTAAAATTAAAAGAAGAGACTATTGCTTCTTCTTTCACTCTGCTTGAAAGATCAGCAAATAATAAACCATGGTTTTAGCTATAATTGGGTAAGGAGAGGAATACACACACACACACACACACACACACACACACACACACAATTTTTCTGCCCAAATTTGGGAACCCTTGCACTTTACACAGAAAAGTTTGCTCTGTATAAATGAAAACTATCTAATTTCTAGAAGGAGTAGCTATTTCTGGTTCCTTCTATGTAGCAGTGAGGTATAGGAATAGGAGTGTAATGGAAAATTCACCCAGAAAGAAAGCAGAGGCCTAGAGCCAGCCTCCATATCCTTTCACTGAGCCAGCTGCTTAGGAAACATCAGCTTGAGATATGTCCAAATACATTAACTTGGTCTCTAATTCTGGGCTTAAATTTATCAACCATTATTGAATGTCACTGAAGTTCCCAGTGACTAAAGAGGCATCAACCTCTCTGTGCAGTCTGCGAGCCTTTCTGTAAGGAAACCATTATTCTGCTACTCAATTAACTGCTAAGGATACAGAAAACTATGTGCCTAAGAGAGAAAGCCTTCCTTTGTGACCTAATCAAAATCCAATGGCTTCTGAAAAGGGCTTGAAAAGATCATTAATTAGGAAGGATGCCTAAATTTGGCATTCAAGGAAATGGTGTACAAATCTAACAATAAAGGTACAAAGCATAAAGTCCCCAGAGCACAAGGTTGCCCAGACTCTTCCTGACTTACCGAGCAAGGCTTCTGAGTTCCGTTTGGAACTCTTAATTATTGGTTAACCATTTAAATTTGATGGTGGATATCTGAGGATCTATTTATATGTTTATCTCTCTGGTGTTTATTCAATCCCCCAAAAGAACAATGCATGAAACCAAGAATGGGAAATAGAGGTATAATTTATGTATTAAATCATTATAAGCAAAAAAAATTAGACAGAGGAAGCATGGGATGCATGCCATCTCAGCATACATTTGGAGTTGACTTTTTGACTTTAACCCTTGGGCTATAGTAGTTGGATGTCAATATTATTTGCACAAATGATCAATATATAACTTATTTCCTGTGTCACCATCATTCTAGTTAGCCATAGATGATATGGATTCCTTAATCTTATGTAAAAAGATGAAAAGAATACACAAATTTAGTGTTAAGGCATTGAAGCTGATAGAATCAAATTGTTGTAAATGCCTAAGCAGATTCTCCTTGGATGTCTGTTTTGCCTTCATATTCATAAAGTAGCTGGAAGGGACAGATGTTAATCTGATCTGTAATGTTGTGGGGCACAGAGTACAGTTTCATTACAATTTTGATTTTCATGCTTTTTTTCTTCTGTAGACCATTTACTGAAGACAAACAATCCCTAACTACCCTTACATGACATATGAAAACGATGAATTAGATGGAACTTCTTTTCTGGATTTAATGACCTCTGGTTTTGATCAACTTAAATGATAATTTACATATTTTACTAGTAGTTGAAATTGTGAAGCTATCTTAGATTAAGACTCGACTGCTTTAATAAAGAAACTAACACTATTTCAGTGGTTTAAAGTTGATAGTTTACTTTTCATGTGAAAATTCAGGGAGGGTGATCCGAATTGGTGGATCATTATGCTCCACGTAGTCATCCGGAGAACAAGGTTATTCTCATTTTATTTTTCTGCCATCCCTTAGGACATTGTCCTTGTTTGCATGGGGGGAAACTAAGTTGCTGTCACATTGGGTTGTAGATGGTGAGAGAAGGGCTCTCCATTGTCCCAAGAAGCCAAACTTAAGTGGCATACCACTTCCACTCATTGGCAAGGTATTAGTTCCATTGCCAGACTTAACTACAAAGGAGGCTGGGAACTTGAGACCTAGACCAGTGGTCAACAAACTTTTTCTGTTGAGGACCCAGTGGTAAATATTTTAGACTTTGTAGCCAGACTCTACTATTGTAGTATAAAAGCAGTTATACACAACAGTCAAAGAATAGTTATGACTGCTTTAATTAAACTTCATGTACAAAACAGACAGACATCCTGCCAACCTCAGACCTAGACTGTCACATATGCAACCAAGCCTATTACTGTAGAAGGGGGAAGAAACTTTTGCTCAAAGCCAGCAGCCTTTGAGAGAACACCAAAAGATTTTAAAAATAAACTTCACATCCCTTGTAAGTCATATTCCTATGTATTTTATTCTCTTTGTAGCAATCGTGAATGGGAGTTCACCCATGATTTGGCTCTCTGTTTGTCTGTTGCTGGTATATAGGAATGCTTGTGATTTTTGCACATTGATTTTGTATCCTGAGACTTTGCTGAAGTTGCTTATCAGCTTAAGGAGATTTTGGGCTGAGAAGATGGGGTTTTCTAAATACATGATCATGTCATCTGTAAACAGAGACAATTTGACTTCTTCCTTTCCTATTTGAATACCTTTTATTTCTTTCTCTTGCCTGATTGCCCTGGCCAGAACTTCCAATACTATGTTGAATAGGAGTGGTGAGAGAGGGCATCCCTGTCTTGTGCTGGTTTTCAAAGGGAATGCTTCCAGTTTTTGCCCATTCAGTATGATATTGGCTGTGGGTTTGTCATAAATAGCTCTTGTTATTTTGAGATACATCACATCAATACCTACTTTATTGTGAGTTTTTAGCATGAAGGGCTGTTGAATTTTGTCGAAGGCATTTTCTGCATCTATTGAGATAATCATGTGGTTTTCGTCGTTGGTTCTGTTTATGTGATGGATTACGTTTATTGATTTGCATATGTTAAACCAGCCTTGCCTCCCAGGTATGAAGCTGATTTGATTATGGTGAATAAGCTTTTTGATGTGCTGCTGGATTCAGTTTGTCAGTATTTTATTGAGGATTTTTGCATTGATGTTCATCAGGGATACTGGCCTGAAATTTTCTTTTTTATTGAGTCCCTGCCAGGTTTTGGTATCAGGATGATGCTGGCCTCATAAAATGAGTTAGGAAGGATTCCCTCTTTTTCTGTTGTTTGGAATAGTTTCAGAAGGAGTGGTACCAGCTCCTCTTTGTACCTCTGGTAGAATTCAGCAGTACAAACCGCTGCTCAAGGAAATAAAAGAGGACACAAAAAAATGGAAAAACATTCCATGCTCATGGATAGGAAGAATCAATATTGTGAAAATGGCCATAATGCCCAAAGTAATTTATAGATTCACTGCTATCCCCATCAAGCTACCATTGACTTTCTGCACAGAATTGGAAAAAAACTACTTTAAACTTCATATGGAAACAAAAAAGAGCCCTCATAGCCAAGACAATCTTATGCAAAAAGAACAAAGCCAGAGACATCACGCTACCTGACTTCAAACTATACTACAAGGCTACGGTGACCAAAACAGCATGGTACTGGTACCAAAATAGACATATAGACCAATGGAATAAAACAGAGTCCTCAGAAATAACACCACACATCTACAACTATCTGATCTTTGACAAACCTGACAAAAACAAGCAGTGGGGAAAGGATTCTCTATGTAATCAATGGTATTGGGAAAACTGGCTAGCCATATGCAGAAAACTGAAACTGGATCCCTTCCTTGCACCTTATACAAAAATTAACTCAAGATGGATTAAAGACTCAAACTTAAGACCTAAAACCATAAAAATCCTAGAAGAAAACCTAGGCAATACCATTCAGGACATAGGCATGGGCAAAGACTTCATGTGTAAAACACCAAAAGCAATGGCAACAAAAGCCAAAATTGACAAATGGGATCTAATTAAACTAAAGAGTTTCTGCACAGCAAAAGAAACTCTCATCAGAGTGAACAGGAACCTACAGAATGTGAGCAAATTTTTGCAATCTATCCATCTGGCAAAGGGCTGATTTCCAGAATCTACAAAGAACTTAAACAAATTTAAAGAAAAAAAATCCCATCAAAAAGTGTGCAAAGGAAATGAACAAACACTTCTCAAAAGAAGACATTTATGCAGCCAACAAACATATGAAAAAATGCTCATCATCACTGGTCATTAGAGAAATACAAATCAAACCACAATGAGATATCATCTCATGGCAGTTAGAATGGCAATCATTAAAAACTCAGGAAACGAGATGCTGGAGAGGATGTGGAGAAATAGGAACACTTTTACACAGTTGGTGGTAGTGTAAATTAGTTCAATCATTGTGAAAGACAGTGTTGTGATTCATCAAGGATCTAGAACTGGAAATACCATTTGACCCAGCAATCCCATTACTGGGTATATGTCCAAAGGATTATAAATCATTCTACTATAAAGACACATGCACACATATGTTTATTGTGGCACTATTCACAATAGCAAAGACTTGGAACCAACCCAAGTATCCATCAATGATAGACTGGTTAAAGAAAATGTGACACATATACACCATGGAATATTATGCAGCCATAAAAATGGATAAGTTCATGTCCTTTGCAGGGACATGGATGAAGCTGGAAATCATCATTCTCAGCAAACTAACACAAGAACAGAAAACCAAACACCGCATGTTCTCACTCATAAGTGGTACTTGAACAATGAGAACATGTGGACACAGTGAGGGGAACATCACACACTCAGGCCTGTAGGGAGGTAGGGGGCTAGAGATGGGATAGCATTAGGAGAAATAACTGATATAGGTGACGGGTTGATGGGTGCAGCAAACCACCATGGCACATGTAAACCTATGTAACAAAACTGCAGAGTCTGCACATGTACCCCAGAGCTTAAAGTATAATTTTAAAGAAAATTTTAAATAAATAAATAAATAAACTAAACTTCATGCTTAGGGAACTAGAATTTTTGCCAATTTTACGTAGAAGCCACTCAAGGCTAATATTTGGTTTGTAAATCATCTTCTACCTTAGAGAAAGAAAATAGAAATAAACAACTAGCACAAGAATCATGATGTTTAATAAGACACAAAGAGTTTTATTTACTGTTTCTTCAAGCTGCACTAAACTGGACATTGGAGAATATTTTTACTCTCATGAGATTTTTGTTTTGATTTTAATGTTTTTTGTCTTGTTTAATTGACAATTCTAATACCTTTTATTAGGCTAACCCTCCAATAAAGCTTTTACAATATTGCCTATCAATGGATAAATTTAAAGTTTGTATTATATAATCAGCCTCTTAGAATATATATTTTATACAGAAAATATGGTTGTGATAAAGTTAGCTACAAAATCTTTTGACGCTCCTTCCATCCAGGAGTAGGGTACCTTTTCTTCCCAACTAAACAACAGAATATAGCAGAAGCAGTGCTGTGCTAGTCTCCAGGACCAGTTCACTTTTTAACTCTTGAGAAACTTTCTCTGGAAGCCCTGACCCACTGTGTAGGAAGCCTGATGACACTGAAATCACCATGTGCAGGAAGCTAGTGTAGATGCTTCCGTGGACAATCCCAGCTGAGCCCAGCTTTCCAGCCATCCCAAGACACAGACTTGAGTGAAGCTGCCTTGGACTCTCCAAGTCAGCCAATCAGCCAGCTGAGCACTAGCCAGTGACTTTAATCCAAGCCATATAGAACAGAAAAGTGGGCCTGCTAAGCCCTACTCAAATTTTTGACTCACAAAAATTATGTGATATAATAAAATTGTTATTGCTTCACATTGCTAACTTTTGTAGTACAGCCATGTGTTGCTTAATGATGGGGACACATCCTGAGAAATGTGTTGTTAGGATGTGCAAACATCACAGGATGTATTTACACAAACCTGGATGGTATAGCCTACTACACACCTAACCTATATGATGTAGCCTATTGCTGCTAGGCTTCAAACCTGTGTAGCATGCTACTTTACTGTATACCGTAGGCAATGGTAACACAATGGTAATATATGTGTAGCTAAACATATCTAAACATAGAAAAGGTACAGTAAAAATATGATATTATATTCTAATGGAACCACCATTGTATATGCAGTCTGTTGTTGACCAAAAGGTGCATGACTATAATTTGTTATGTAGCAATAGACTCCCAGAAACGGAGAATAAAAGAGAAAAAACTCTCAATATGTTGTTGTTGCTATGTATTTTTTTTCTTAATTTGATGCTAATGCTAGTTTTTGTTAATAACTTAATTTTTAAATTAGGTTACAATGATCCTTGAAATGTATTTTCATAATAACAATGTGATCTAAAATTTACTATAAGGAAAAATTACCCTGCTTACCCAGAAATAAAAATGTTTTAGAATAAATAAAAGGAACCTGAAACTCAACTAAAAGGACCTTAGTAGAAGATTTATATAGCTCAAAATGAAAATCTATAAGCAAGGTTAAAACATCAGAGTGAAAATAGAAAAGGTCTTGCAAGCCATGTGCAAGGTGGGAGGTGGCATGTTTTGTGTAAGGGCCGAAGTGCTTTGCAGTAAGATAGGCCCAAGGTAATAATCCATCCAGTGGCTGGGTGACCCAGGGCAAGTTACTTATCCTCCCTGAGCTTCAGTTTCCTGAGCTATAAAATGAGGATAAAACTGTCTTCCTCATAGGGTTACTATGAGGATTAAGGGAGATAATGTACACAAAGCACTCAGAAAAACACCTGCCATGTGGTAGGTGCTTAATGAATAGCTGTTTCCTTCTCTTTTTCAGCAAGAAAGTGAAGGAAATTGAAAACACTGGCAATTTGTATATAGAGGTTAGCTCTGCACAGAAACTCTTCGGCTTCTGATTCTGGACATTATGGAGAGCTCCAATTTCTTGATGTGTGACTATTCTGAAAGTGGGCAAACAAAAGAGGAGAAAAAAACTGAGAGGCAAATGGACTTTTTTTGTTTCTGTGGAAAAAGCAGGACTTTCAATCAAAGCATAAGCATTTTTTGAAAAATCATTTCATTCTGGGAAATGCTGTGTTCTTCCAAACTTATGTAACATTTGTTTTCAATTTAAAAGAGACAAATGTCAAGTATAAGCCTGGACTTGACAAAATGGCAGAACATTAATACATGATAAAAAATATAGTGGAAACTGTCTCCCAAGCATTAATTTCTATGGAGTACAGTATTCAGAATTTTTAAAAAATAGCAGGGCTTTTCAAAGACACTAATTTTCTCAGCCAGATTGCTGAATACTCTCTTCAGATCATTGTTCTTATGATTATCTAATGCTTTAAAGTTCTGTTTAATATTATATGTGGTAGTAACTTGGAATTACAGGCATGGAAAGTCAACTTTTAACCTTGAATTTCCAGTTTCACTTATATAAGGGTAATAACAAAGCAGTAACAAGAATGTAAAGTACTCATCTGTCAGCAGCTGGGCTTAAACCAAAAGTTACCTCTTTAGTTTTCCTGGGAAATTAAATAATTGAATGATTATTTTCAGTAAACAAGATTTATTAAATCCATCTACTTTTAAATATATTTATTTTATTTTCATGTTTCTCATCTATATGTTTCCAAAAAAGATTTAAAGGATATATAAAATAGAAAATTACACAAAATTATGATTAATAAGAAAGAAAAGAACAAGCAAGTATAGGGATATACAATTTTAAAGTACAGCCAGGATTGTGTCTAGCACAACAATATATAGGAGCAGACTTTGTATACTTGCTACTATGTGACACAGTGTTGATGCAAAACTTATGAGCAGTCAATGGGAAAATTTAAGTCAGTGCCTAGGTGCTCAAGGGAAGCACAACCATTCCTAATACTAAAATCAGGAAGAAATTTCTTCCTACGATCCTTACAATGAGGATAGTATGTAGCATGTGCTTGCTTAATAATATCCCTACAGATTTTCATAAAAATAATCTTGCAAGTCTGAAAAAAAGTCTCAGTATTATTATTTGTCCTGGTTTATGGCCAGAAAATATCAGAAACATACACACCACACACACCACACACACACGTGAATTTTGTAGTTTCATTTTTTAACTTACGACTTCTATAATGTATTATATGTATAAATATATATTTATATGTATTTATATATAACATATCTTATATATGAATATATAATACGAGTAGCTTCCCCAGGGCCCACAATACCATTGAGCAAGGCAGGCAGTAGGGGAGGGAAAAGTTAGCTTAGGTGACTGGGTCAGAAGCTAACAACCAACTCAATAGTACTACTCTCATGTTCCAATCTCAAGGAAAAATATGGTCTTGTCCTCTATTCTTCCATAGACACCTCTCAGGTCTCTATGGTGTCTTTCACCTAATATGACCCCCTTTGTGCAAGCTTAGTTTGAATTCATCTATGTGAGGTTTTCTCTAACCCCCTCTGCTTTCTCTTCCCCTTTTTAGGCAGAATTTGTCTAGCTGTTCCCACTGCCACTGTAGTACTTTGTCCATAGAGCCAGCTCAACACAGAAAGGATTGTAGAATTATGCAACATACTTCTATTCCCCTCCTCACTCATAACTGTAAATTTCTTGAGGGCAGACACTGTGCCTTTCTTATTTCTTATTCCATTTCCCCCTTACCACCACAACCTACTGGCGAGACTCTAGGATATTATTTAACCCATAATAGGCATATAATAAAGATTGCTTTGAATTGTTTTCCTTTTCAGGATTGTCCTTGGCATGTAGTTCGATGTGATCAGTTACATCAGGAGAAATACTGAGAAACACAGAGGAGGGATTTGTTGTTGTGCAAATTGTATTTACAGTGTAAACTGTAATTCTGGGGAGAGCCTTTCCTTGGGTACGGTAGAATTCTATTTTAACATCCTAAAGTGCCTTATATTCACAGGATAGTGTGGATTATGCACTGTTTTTTGTGTGAAAGGAAGCCCATGACCTCTTATTTCATGTCCTCCAACTCTAGTTGATTTCAGTGAGCATCATGGAATTTGTATTTTGAGCGTTTTTTTTTTTAACTTATGGCTTGCTTAGCACACTGTGCAAAACCATTAATAAAAATCAAAAGCCCATGGAAGCTTTGCCAATCTACTCTCCTCTTAACTGGCAGGTGTATGAAGGCTGCTTGCATGCAGCAAAGCTTTAGAGGCAGTGGATGTTTCCTTTCAATGGAGGGAAAATGTTGAGCTTTAGTCTTGTTTGTTGAAAGGAGATAAAAAGAAGCCTAAAAACGCTTATGGAGAGGGAATGGACCAACAGAATAGCTGACAGGTCACAAAAGGAAGATGTCAGTGAGGAGCACCCTGACTATTTGCTAAGCAGTTTCTAAGCAACTTTTAATGGAAGGTCAGACATAAGCAAGATAAAGGGAAGAGGAAACAATGTTATTTCACACAATAAAGTGAATATGAATGCTGCCAGTTAAAGGGGAAAATAGACTGGTCAGTCTTGACAGTACTGATGTGTGGGGGGTTTTGTGTGTGTGTGAATAGGAATAAAAATCTTTCATAAAAGTGCCTATCAAATTTGAGCAAGTGTAACAATCCTCACAAAGTGAATATATTATAATTAAAGAGGTTTTCATATGACTCACCGGGCTTTGCCAAAAAGTATCAACACCTCCTGTTCCCCCATTCCAATCCATAGACATTTCATTCATTTATTTATTACATAAATATTTAATGTGCTCCTCTGGGTCAGACACCATGCTAGATCAATAGAGAGGCAAGAGCCCCAGGCCCTGGCTCTGAGGCACTGAGTCCAGTCTGTTCCAGTTAGTCATGGACATAAGGTCCCTGGAGAACAGGCACCTTGGCATCTCTGGGGGTATCAGGGCAAGCTTCCTAAGGAAGGCAGATTAGGGCAAATCTTGAATGGCCTTCTCAGGTCTCCTTTTTTTTCTTCACTCAGATAACTTTTGAATATTTTTCCTTTCACTGAAAGAATAAAAAATTACCTTTTTTCCCCTCCAACTTGTCTATGTAGAAGAGAATGTTATGTGAGTAGTTGTAAATACTTCACCATTGAGGTTTGCATGAGGTCATTAATAATGTCCCAACTGCCAAATTTAAAGGTCTTTTGTAAGTGATATTTTTTGACATCGATTATATGAATTATCTGACATGGTGTACCATCATCTGAAAACCCCTCCTCTTGCCTGCAATGGCACTAGATTTTCCTAGTTATGCTCCTACCTCTACATCTTATCTGTTTCTGTTTCTCTTCCTAGTTCTCTTCCTCTTTCTCACAGTAACTTAATATTTTCTCATATCTTGAACTCACATTTTTATGCTTATACCTCTCAGAACTTTAGCTCTATCCTCTCACAAGGCTTCATCTTTATATTTACAAATGTCCAGGATATTTTCATTTTCTTTTTTTTTTTTTTTTTTTTTACTTTAAGCTCCAGGATACATGTGCAGAATGTGCAGGTTTTTAGATCGGTATATTTCTGCCATGGTAGTTTGCTGCACCTGTCAACCCATCACATAGGTTTTAAGCCCTGCATGCATTAGCTGTTTGTCCTGATGCGCTCCTTCCCCTTCCCCATGACCTGACAGGACCTGGTGAGTGTTGTCCCCCTCCCTGTGTCCATGTGTTCTCATTGTTCAACTCCCACTTATGAGTGAGAACATGCAGTGTTTGGTTTTCTGTTCCTGTGTTAGTTTGTTGAGGATGATGGCTTCCAGCTTCATCCATGTCCCTGCAAAGGACATGAGCTCACTCCTTTTTATGGCTGCATAATATTCCATGATGTGTACTACCACATTTTCTTTATCCAGCTTATCATTGATGAGCATTTGGTTGGTTCCATCTCTTTGCTATTGTGAATACTGCTGCAATAAACATACAGGTAAATGTATCTTTATATTGGAATGATTTATATTCCTTTGATTATATACCCAATAATGAGATTGTTGGGTCAAATGGTATTTCTGGTTCTAGATCCTTGGGGAATCACCACATTGTCTTCCACAATGGTTGAACTAATTTATAAATAGTAGAAACAATATTTACACTGTTTATACTAACAGTGTAAAAGCATTCCCATTTCTCCACAGCCTTGCTAGCATCTGTTGTTTCTTGACATTTTAATAATTGCCATTCTGACTGGCATGAGATGGTACCTCATTGTGGTTTTGATTTGCATTTATCTAATAATCAATGACGTTGAGCTTTTTAAAAATGTTTGTTGACCACATAAATGTCTTCTTTTGAGGTGTCTGTTCATATACTTTGCCCACTTTTTGACAGGGTTTGTTTTTTTCTTGTAAATTTGTTTAAGTTCCTTGTACATTCTAAGTATTAGACCTTTGTCAAATGGGTAGATTGCAAAAATTTTCTCCCATTCTATGGGTTGCCTGTTCGCTCTTATGATAGTTTCTTTTGCTGTGCAGAAGACTTTTAGTTTAATTAGATCCCATTTGTTAATTTTAGCTTTTGTTTCAATTGCTTGTGGCAATTTTGTCATGAAGTCTTTGCCCATGCCTATGTCCTGAATGGTATTGCCTAGGTTTTCTTCTAGGGTTTTTATGGTTTAGGGTTTTACATTTAAGTCTTTAGTCCATCTTGAGTTAATTTTTGTATAAGGTGTAAGGAATGGGTCCAGTTTCAGTTTTCTGCATATGCTAGCCAGTTTTCCTAGCACCATTTATTAATTAGGGAATCCTTTCTCCATTGCTTGTTTTTGTCAGGTTTGTCGAAGATCAGATAGTTTTAGATGTGTGATCTTATTTCTGAGGTCTCTATTCTGTTTCATTGGTCTATATGTCTATTTTGGTACTAGTACCATGCTGTTTTGGTAACTGTAGCCTTGCAGTGTAGTTTGAAGTCAGGTAGCGTGATGCCTCCAGCTTTGTTATTTTTGCTTAAGATTATCTTGGCTATGCAGGCTCTTTTTTGGTTTCACATGAATTTTAAGGTAGTTTTTTTCTAATTCTGTGAAGAATGTCAGTGGTAGTTTGATGGGAATAGCATTGAATCTCTGTTACTTTGGGCTGTATGGCCATTTTTATGATATTGATTCTTCCTATCCATGAGGATGGAATGTTTTTTCATTTGTTTGTGTCCTCTTTTATTTTCTTGAAAGTGGTTTGTAGTTCTCCTTGAAGAGTTCCATCGTGTCCCTTGTTAGTGTATTTCTAGGTATTCTATTCTCTTTGTAGCAATTGTGAATGGGAGTTCATTCATGATTTGGCTCTCTGATTGTCTGTTGTTGGGGTATAGGAATGCTTGTGATTTTTGCACATTGATTTTGTATCCTGAGACTTTGCTGAGGTTGCTTATCTGCTTACAGAATTGTGGGGCTGAGATGATGGGGTTTTCTAAATATAGAGTCATGTTGTCTGCAAACAGAGACAATTTGACTTCCTCTCTTCCTATTTGAATATCTTTTATTTCTTTCTCTTGCCTGATTGCCCTGGCCAGAACTTCCAATACTATGTTGAATAGAAGTGGTGAGAGAGGGCATCCTTGTCTTGTGCTGGTTTTCAAAGTGAATGCTTCCAGCTTTTGCCCACTCAGTATGATATTGGCTGTAGGTTTGTCATAAATAGCTCTTATTATTTTGAGATATGTTCTATCAATACCAGGTTTATTGAGAGTTTTTAATGTGAAGTGATGCTCGATTTTATTGAAAGCTGTTTCTGCATCTATTGACATGATCATGTGGTTTTTGTCATTGGTTCTGTTTCTGTGATAGATTACGTTTATTGATTTGCATATGTCAAACCAGCCTTGCATCCCAGGGATAAAGCTGACTTGATCATGGTGGGTAAGTTTTTTGATGTGCTACTAGATTCAGTTTGCCAGTATTTTATTGAGGATTTTTGCATGGATGTTCGTCAGGGATATTAGCCTGAAGTTTTTTTTTTTGTTGTTGTGTCTCTGCCAGGTTTTGGTATCAGGGTGATACTGATCTCATTAAATGAGTTAGGGAGGAGTTCCTCCTTTTCAATTGTTTGGAATAGTTTCTAAAAAAATGGTACCAGCTCCTCTTTGTACAGCTGGTAGAATTCAGCTGTGAATCCATCTTGTCCTGGGCTTTTTTTGGTTGTAGGCTATTTATTAGTGCCTCAATTCCAGAACTTGTTATTCGTTTATTCAGGGATTCGACTTCTTCCTGGTTTAGTCTTGGGAGGGTGTATGTTCAGGAATTTATCCCTTTCTTCTAGATTTTCTAGTTTATTTGCATAGAGGTATTTATAGCATTCTCTTATGGCATAGTATCCTTGTGGGGTCAGTGGTGATATCCCCTTTATCATTTTTTATTGTGTCTATTTGATTCTTTACTCTTCTCTTTTTTATTAGTCTAGCTAGTAGACTATCTATTTTATTAATTTTTTTAGAAAAAACGGTTCCTGGATTCATTGATTTTTTGAAGGGTTTTTTTTGTGTATCTAACTCCTTCAGTTCCACTCTGATCTTAGTTATTTCTTGTCTCCTGCTAGCTTTGGGGTTTGTTTGCTCTTGCTTCTCTAGCTCTTTTAATTGCAATGTCACAGTATCTATTTGAGATCTTCCCAGCTTTCTAATGTGGGCATTTCGTGTTATAAATTTCCCTCTTAACACTACTTTAGCTGTGCCCCAGAGATTCCGGTACATTGTCCCTTTGATCTCATTGGTTTCAAAGAACTTCTTGATTTCTGCCTTAGTTTCATGATTTACCCAGGAGTCATTCAGGAGCAGGTTGTTCAATTTCCATGTAGTTGTGTGGTTTTGAGTGAGTTTCTTAATCCTGAGTTCTAATCTGATTGCACTGTGATCTGAGAGACTGTTTGTTATGATTTGAGTTCTTTTGCATTTGCTGAGGAGTGTTTTACTTCCAGTTATGTGGTTGATTTTAGAGTAAGTGTCATGTGGTACTGAGAAGAATGTATATTCTGTTGTGTTGAGGTGGAGATTTCTGTTGATATCTATTAGATCCACTTGATCCAGGACTGAGTTCAAGTCCTTAATATTCTTGTTAATTTTCTGTCATGTTGATCTGTCTAATGTTGACAGTGGGGTTTTAAAGTCTCCCACTATTATTGTGTGGGAGTCTAAGTCTCTTCGTAGGTCCCTAAAACCATGTTTTATGAATCTGGGTCCTCCTGTGTTGGGTGCATATATATTTAGGATAGTTAGCTCTTCCTTTTGAATAGATCCCTTTACAATTATGTAATGCCTTTCTTTGTCTTTTTTGATCCTTGTTAGTTTAAAGTCTGTTTTGTCAGAGGCTAGGATTGCAACCCCTGCTTTTTTCTGCTTTCCATTTTTTTGGTTCTCAAGTAAATCTCTTCCCTTTATTTTGAGTCTCTGTGTGTCTTTGCACATGAGATGGGTCTCCTGAGTACAGCACACCAATGGGTCTTGACTCTTTGTCCAATTTGCCAGTTTGTGTCTTTTAATTGGGGCATTTATCACATATACATTTAAGATTAATATTGTTAGGTTAATATTATTATTTAATTTGATCCTGTCATCATGATGCTAGCTGGTTATTTTGCACATAGTTGATGCTGTTTCTTCATAGTGCCATGGTCTTTATATTTTCATGTGTTTTTGCAGTGGCTGGTACTGGTTTTTCCTTTCCGTACTTAGTGCTTCCTTCAGGAGCTTTTGTAAGGCAGGCTTGGTGGTGATGAATTCCCTCAGCACTTGCTTGTCTGTAAAGGATTTTATTTCTCCTTCACTTATGAATCTTAGTTTGGCCAGATATAAAATATTGGGCTGAAAATTATTTTCCTTTAGAATGTTGAATATTGGCTCCCACTCTCTTCTGGCTTGTAGGATTTCTTCTGAGAGATCCAGTTAGTCTGATGGGCTTCCCTTTGTAGGTGACCTGGCCTTTCTCTCTGGCTGCCCTTAACATTTTCTCCGTCATTTTGACATTGGAGAATCTGATGATTATGTGTCTTGGGGTTGATCTTCCCATGGAGTATCATAGTGGGGTTCTCTGTATTTCCTGAATTTGATGTTGGCCTATCTTGCTAGGCTGAGGAAGTTCTCCTGGATAATATCCTGCAGTGTGTTTTCCAACTTGGTTCCATTCTCCCCATCTCTTTCAGGTACTCCAATCAGTTGTAGGTTCGGTCTTTTTACATAGTCCCATATTTCTTGGAGGTTTTGTTCATTCCTTTTCATTCTTTTTTCCCTATTCTTGTCTGCCTGCCTTATTTCAGCAAAATAGTCTTCCATCTCTGATATCCTTTCTTCTGCTTGATTGATTCAGCTATTGATACTTGTGTACACTTCACGAAGTTCTCATGCTGTGTTTTTCAGCTCCATCAGGTTATGTTCCTCTCTAAACTGATTATTATAGTTAGCAACTCCTCTAAACTTTTACCAAGGTTCTTAGCTTCTTTGCATTGGGTTAGAACCTGCTCCTTTACCTCAGCAAAGTTTGTTATTACCCACTTTCTGAAGCCTACCTCTGTCAATTCGTTCATCTCATCCTCCGTCCAGTTCTGTGCCCTTCCTGGAGAGGTGTTGCAATCATTTGGAGAAGGAGAAGTACTCTGGCGTTTTGGGTTTTCAGGGTATTTTTTTGTTGTTGATTCTTTCTCATCCTCATGAGTTTGTCTAGTTTTGTCTTTGAGGCTGCTGACCCTTGGATGAAGTTTTTGTGAGGACTTTTTCTTGTTGATGCTGCTGTTGTTGCTTTCTGTTTGTTTTTGTTTCAATAGTCAGGACCCTCTTCTGTTGGGCTGCTGCGTTTGCTGGGCATTCACTTCAGGCCCTATTCATCTGGTTCACTCCTGCACCTGGAGCTGTCACTTGAGAAGGCTGGAGAACAGCAAAGATGGGTGCCTGCTCCTTCCTCCGGGATCTCTGACCTTGAGAGGCATCAACCTGATGCCAGTAGGAACGCTCCTGTATAAGATGTCTGGCAATAGGTCTCACTCAGTTAGGTGGCACAGGAAGCAGGACCTGTTTAACAAAGCACTTTGGCTATCTCTTGGTGAAGGGGGTGTGCTGTACTGTGGGGAAACCCACTCACCTGGGCTGCCTTAATTCCTCAGAGCTAGCAGGAGGAAAGACCAAGTCTGTTGGTCTGCAGAGACTACAACCACCTCTCCCGCTATGGACTGAAGCCCATGGAGATCAGAGTTCTGTCCCTGAGACCCTGGCTGGAGTGGGAGTTTCTACATGGAGGCCCTGCAGCTTCAGGGTTGGCTGCTGCCCCTCCCCCAAGGAGCTCAGATGGCTTAGACAGCAGGCAGACACAGCAGTGGTGATGGCTGCTCCTCCCCCAGGGAACTCAGCAGGTTTAGGCCAATTCTAGCCCAGTGGCTGTTGAGAATCTGCATGGCTCTGTGGTTAGGACCCAAGGACCCGGTGGCGTGGACTCACGAGTGGGATCTTCCAATCCTTGGGTTGCACAGTTCCGTTGAAAAAGTGTGGTTTCCCAAGCTGGGTAGCACACTCACTCACCGCCTCCCTTGGCTGGGGTGGAGGCTCCCCTGCCCCATGTGGCTCTCAGGTGTGCCACCTCACTACACTGGTCTTCCTTCCTCTCCATGGGTCATTTCAGGTGCCTAGTCAGTCCTAGTGACAGAACTTGGATACCTCGGTTGCCATTGCAGGATTCACACACTGTTTTGGATCTTTTCAATGGGAGCCTCTGATCACCTCTCCTTCTAGTCAGCCATCTTGGCCCTGTCCCCAACTTTGGTATTTTATCATCACTTATATTCAGCCTTTCTGAAGCAGCAGCAGCAGCTGAAGATACATACAGCATGCATAATCCCCAAATGTATACATAATCACCAGTTGGCTTGAGTAACCCCATTGTCTATTGAGGAAAAAGATGGGTGGAGCTGGGCACTGCCCTGATTAAGGGACATGAAAGCAGGTTGTGCACATCAATCAAAATGTGGATGTGGTATGGATTGTGTTGTTTTCCCAAAGCACACTCCGAGGAGTATCTTAAGCATTTTTACTCATTTTTGTTTCCTCAACTAGCAATGGAAAGAACAAAGAAATGTGACCTTGTTGATATTGGCTTCCTTAGAAGAAGCTGAAATATATGTAGACCCAAGTAATATTTTTATTTCTTATTTGAGGCACAACCTTAATGAATTCTTAGATTTATTCTGGAAAAGATTTGAGATTTTTTTTTAAAAGGATTTGTTTACAGTTTAGTCTAGAAGGTTTATCTTCTAAAGGAAGGATTTAGCACATTTATTGAAGATGAGGACAAATTTACCAGCCTAATCTACAGCAAGACAACTAAAATTTGAGGTTTCAGGAGGGTAATATCCAGATGTATTCACATACTACAAAGGATACTCTATGTGGCAAAGAAAGATAAATATCAATGTGCAGTATTTCTCTAGAGAAAATGCAAAGAAGGATAGCTATCATAACTATGTCCATAACTGTGTATCTTAATTCACGGTGTAAAAACATAAAGAAAATTCAAAGATTCTTTAGGGCATGCCAAGGTGATGAGCAAATGAATGACTGAATGAATAAATGTTACTGAAAAATTTTCATAAGCTTTTTAATGAGGAACCCTAGAAAAACCCTGATGATCAGAGACTCTTTGACATCATCAAGCAATAATTTGTTCTTTCAATGGGAAGAAAGCTCCATTCAAAGAATTTCTTTCTTAAAATATAGGCTCTATATCTCCACAGGAGAGAAAATATGTCATAGTTATAAATTTCATGATAAAAACTGCCCTTTGTTTAGAAATTATACTGGCTTACATTCCATCCATTTCATAGAATTAAAAAAATTTTCCTATGTCTTAATACTAAGTTAGGCTGATACCTAGAACCCATAATGTCTGCCCTGAAGGGACAGTAACAAAAGAAATTAAACTACCTCTCTCCTTTGGGACAATTGCCAGGTATCCTTCATAAACTTTGACTATAGGCTGCACAGAATTCCTCTGGATTTTCTCATTCCCAGAAGAACCATGATAGTGGGAACCCCAGAGCTAACCAGAAAATTGAATTCCATCTTCAGCAGAGGGCTGGAAGCAATGAGTGAATATTTTCATGTTGGTTGTAATTATATTTTATAGAAAACAAAGGACTTATGAAATCCCTTTACTGGCTTTTGCCTTTTTTAATTTTTAATTTTTTTGGGTTACATAGTATATATATATATTTATGGGGCACATGAGCTATTTTGATACAGGCATACAGTGTGTAATAATCACACAAGGATAAATGGGATATCCATCACCTCATTCATCATTTCTGTATGTTATAAACATTCTAGTTGCACTACTTCTATTATTCTAAAATGTACAACAAATTATTGCTGACTGTAGTCACCCTATTGTGCTATCAAATACTGGTTCTTATTCATTCTATCTAACTAGGTTTTTGTATCTATTAACCATCCCTGATCCCCTCCACTGCCCCCACTACCCTCCCCAGCCTCCAGTAACTACCATTCTACTCTATATCTCCATGAATTCAATTGTTTTAATTTTTAGCTCCCACAAATTAGTGAGAATATTCAAAGTTCATCTTTCTGTGCCTGGCTTATTTCAATTAATATAATGTCCTCCAGTTCCATTCATGTTGTTGCAAATGACAGGATTTCATTCTTTTCTATGGCTGAATAGTACTCCATTTTGTATATGTACCACATTTTCTTTATCCATTCATCTGTTGATCATCACTTAGGCTAATTCCAAATCTTGGCTATTGTGAATAGTGTTGCAATAAACATGGGAGTGCAGTTATCTCTTTGATATATTGATTTCCTTTTGGGGGGGTATATACCTGGCAGCTTCAGCCTTTTGATGTCCTGTAATTTCCATCTCACTACAATGAATAGAACCAAATGAAGGCCTACCATAATTTTAAGGTTTAGGAAGTCTTTAATAATAATAATAATAATAAGGTTTAGGAAGTCTTTAAATAATACATGACCAGTATTTAATGAAATCGGACCTGTCTTCTTGATATGCATTTCTTTTTTTTTTTTTTTTTTTTTTTATTATTATTTTTTTTATAAATTTTTTTTTTTTTATTATACTCTAAGTTTTAGGGTACATGTGCACATTGTGCAGGTTAGTTACATATGTATACATGTGCCATGCTGGTGCGCTGCACCCACTAACGTGTCATCTAGCATTAGGTATATCTCCCAATGCTATCCCTCCCCCCTCCCCCGACCCCACCACAGTCCCCAGAGTGTGATATTCCCCTTCCTGTGTCCATGTGATCTCATTGTTCAATTCCCACCTATGAGTGAGAATATGCGGTGTTTGGTTTTTTGTTCTTGCGATAGTTTACTGAGAATGATGGTTTCCAATTTCATCCATGTCCCTACAAAGGACATGAACTCATCATTTTTTATGGCTGCATAGTATTCCATGGTGTATATGTGCCACATTTTCTTAATCCAGTCTATCATTGTTGGACATTTGGGTTGGTTCCAAGTCTTTGTTATTGTGAATAGTGCCGCAATAAACATACGTGTGCATGTGTCTTTATAGCAGCATGATTTATAGTCCTTTGGGTATATACCCAGTAATGGGATGGCTGGGTCAAATGGTATTTCTAGTTCTAGATCCCTGAGGAATCGCCACACTGACTTCCACAATGGTTGAACTAGTTTACAGTCCCACCAACAGTGTAAAAGTGTTCCTATTTCTCCACATCCTCTCCAGCACCTGTTGTTTCCTGACTTTTTAATGATTGCCATTCTAACTGGTGTGAGATGATATCTCATAGTGGTTTTGATTTGCATTTCTCTGATGGCCAGTGATGATGAGCATTTCTTCATGTGTTTTTTGGCTGCATAAATGTCTTCTTTTGAGAAGTGTCTGTTCATGTCCTTCGCCCACTTTTTGATGGGGTTGTTTGTTTTTTTCTTGTAAATTTGTTTGAGTTCATTGTAGATTCTGGATATTAGCCCTTTGTCAGATGAGTAGGTTGCGAAAATTTTCTCCCATGTTGTAGGTTGCCTGTTCACTCTGATGGTAGTTTCTTTTGCTGTGCAGAAGCTCTTTAGTTTAATTAGATCCCATTTGTCAATTTTGGCTTTTGTTGCCATTGCTTTTGGTGTTTTGGACATGAAGTCCTTGCCCATGCCTATGTCCTGAATGGTAATGCCTAGGTTTTCTTCTAGGGTTTTTATGGTTTTAGGTCTAACGTTTAAATCTTTAATCCATCTTGAATTGATTTTTGTATAAGGTGTAAGGAAGGGATCCAGTTTCTGCTTTCTACATATGGCTAGCCAGTTTTCCCAACACCATTTATTAAATAGGGAATCCTTTCCCCATTGCTTGTTTTTCTCAGGTTTGTCAAAGATCAGATAGTTGTAGATATGCGGCATTATTTCTGAGGGCTCTGTTCTGTTCCATTGATCTATATCTCTGTTTTGGTACCAGTACCAGGCTGTTTTGGTTACTGTAGCCTTGTAGTATAGTTTGAAGTCAGGTAGTGTGATGCCTCCAGCTTTGTTCTTTTGGCTTAGGATTGACTTGGCGATGCGGGCTCTTTTTTGGTTCCATATGAACTTTAAAGTAGTTTTTTCCAATTCTGTGAAGAAAGTCATTGGTAGCTTGATGGGGATGGCATTGAATCTGTAAATTACCTTGGGCAGTATGGCCATTTTCACGATATTGATTCTTCCTACCCATGAGCATGGAATGTTCTTCCATTTGTTTGTGTCCTCTTTTATTTCCTTGAGCAGTGGTTTGTAGTTCTCCTTGAAGAGGTCCTTCACATCCCTTGTAAGTTGGATTCCTAGGTATTTTATTCTCTTTGAAGCAATTGTGAATGGGAGTTCACTCATGATTTGGCTCTCTGTTTGTCTGTTGTTGGTGTATAAGAATGCTTGTGATTTTTGTACATTGATTTTGTATCCTGAGACTTTGCTGAAGTTGCTTATCAGCTTAAGGAGATTTTGGGCTGAGACGATGGGGTTTTCTAGATAAACAATCATGTCGTCTGCAAACAGGGACAATTTGACTTCCTCTTTTCCTAATTGAATACCCTTTATTTCCTTCTCCTGCCTGATTGCCCTGGCCAGGACTTCCAACACTATGTTGAATAGGAGCGGTGAGAGAGGGCATCCCTGTCTTGTGCCAGTTTTCAAAGGGAATGCTTCCAGTTTTTGCCCATTCAGTATGATATTGGCTGTGGGTTTGTCATAGATAGCTCTTATTATTTTGAAATACGTCCCATCAATACCTAATTTATTGAGAGTTTTTAGCATGAAGGGTTGTTGAATTTTGTCAAAGGCTTTTTCTGCATCTATTGAGATAATCATGTGGTTTTTGTCTTTGGCTTTGTTTATATGCTGGATTACATTTATTGATTTGCGTATATTGAACCAGCCTTGCATCCCAGGGATGAAGCCCACTTGATCATGGTGGATAAGCTTTTTGATGTGCTGCTGGATTCGGTTTGCCAGTATTTTATTGAGGATTTTTGCATCAATGTTCATCAAGGATATTGGTCTAAAATTCTCTTTTTTGGTTGTGTCTCTGCCCGGCTTTGGTATCAGAATGATGCTGGCCTCATAAAATGAGTTAGGGAGGATTCCCTCTTTTTCTGTTGATTGGAATAGTTTCAGAAGGAATGGTACCAGTTCCTCCTTGTACCTCTGGTAGAATTCGGCTGTGAATCCATCTGGTCCTGGACTCTTTTTGGTTGGTAAACTATTGATTATTGCCACAATTTCAGAGCCTGTTATTGGTCTATTCAGAGATTCAACTTCTTCCTGGTTTAGTCTTGGGAGAGTGTATGTGTCGAGGAATGTATCCATTTCTTCTAGATTTTCTAGTTTATTTGCGTAGAGGTGTTTGTAGTATTCTCTGATGGTAGTTTGTATTTCTGTGGGATCGGTGGTGATATCCCCTTTATCATTTTTTATTGTGTCTATTTGATTCTTCTCTCTTTGTTTCTTTATTAGTCTTGCTAGCGGTCTATCAATGTTGTTGATCCTTTCAAAAAACCAGCTCCTGGATTCATTGATTTTTTGAAGGGTTTTTTGTGTCTCTATTTCCTTCAGTTCTGCTCTGATTTTAGTTATTTCTTGCCTTCTGCTAGCTTTTGAATGTGTTTGCTCTTGCTTTTCTAGTTCTTTTAATTGTGATGTTAGGGTGTCAATTTTGGATCTTTCCTGCTTTCTCTTGTAGGCATTTAGTGCTATAAATTTCCCTCTACACACTGCTTTGAATGCGTCCCAGAGATTCTGGTATGTGGTGTCTTTGTTCTCGTTGGTTTCAAAGAACATCTTTATTTCTGCCTTCATTTCGTTATGTACCCAGTAGTCATTCAGGAGCAGGTTGTTCAGTTTCCATGTAGTTGAGCGGCTTTGAGTGAGATTCTTAATCCTGAGTTCTAGTTTGATTGCACTGTGGTCTGAGAGATAGTTTGTTATAATTTCTGTTCTTTTACATTTGCTGAGGAGAGCTTTACTTCCAAGTATGTGGTCAATTTTGGAATAGGTGTGGTGTGGTGCTGAAAAAAATGTATATTCTGTTGATCTGGGGTGGAGAGTTCTGTAGATGTCTATTAGGTCTGCTTGGTGCAGAGCTGTGTTCAATTCCTGGGTATCCTTGTTGACTTTCTGTCTCGTTGATCTGTCTAATGTTGACAGTGGGGTGTTAAAGTCTCCCATTATTAATGTGTGGGAGTCTAAGTCTCTTTGTAGGTCACTCAGGACTTGCTTTATGAATCTGGGTGCTCCTGTATTGGGTGCATAAATATTTAGGATAGTTAGCTCCTCTTGTTGAATTGATCCCTTTACCATTATGTAATGGCCTTCTTTGTCTCTTTTGATCTTTGTAGGTTTAAAGTCTGTTTTATCAGAGACTAGGATTGCAACCCCTGCCTTTTTTTGTTTTCCATTGGCTTGGTAGATCTTCCTCCATCCTTTTATTTTGAGCCTATGTGTGTCTCTGCACGTGAGATGGGTTTCCTGAATACAGCACACTGATGGGTCTTGACTCTTTATCCAACTTGCCAGTCTGTGTCTTTTAATTGCAGAATTTAGTCCATTTATATTTAAAGTTAATATTGTTATGTGTGAATTTGATCCTGTCATTATGATGTTAGCTGGTGATTTTGCTCATTAGTTGATGCAGTTTCTTCCTAGTCTTGATGGTCTTTACATTTTGGCATGATTTTGCAGCGGCTGGTACCGGTTGTTCCTTTCCATGTTTAGTGCTTCCTTCAGGAGCTCTTTTAGGGCAGGCCTGGTGGTGACAAAATCTCTCAGCATTTGCTTGTCTATAAAGTATTTTATTTCTCCTTCACTTATGAAGCTTAGTTTGGCTGGATATGAAATTCTGGGTTGAAAATTCTTTTCTTTAAGAATGTTGAATATTGGCCCCCACTCTCTTCTGGCTTGTAGGGTTTCTGCCGAGAGATCCGCTGTTAGTCTGATGGGCTTTCCTTTGAGGGTAACCCGACCTTTCTCTCTGGCTGCCCTTAACATTTTTTCCTTCATTTCAACTTTGGTGAATCTGACAATTATGTGTCTTGGAATTGCTCTTCTCGAGGAGTATCTTTGTGGCGTTCTCTGTATTTCCTGAATCTGAACGTTGGCCTGCCTTGCTAGATTGGGGAAGTTCTCCTGGATAATATCCTGCAGAGTGTTTTCCAACTTGGTTCCATTCTCCACATCACTTTCAGGTACACCAATCAGACGTAGATTTGATCTTTTCACATAGTCCCATATTTCTTGGAGGCTTTGCTCATTTCTTTTTATTCTTTTTTCTCTAAACTTCCCTTCTCGCTTCATTTCATTCATTTCATCTTCCATTGCTGATACCCTTTCTTCCAGTTGATCGCATCGGCTCCTGAGGCTTCTGCATTCTTCATGTAGTTCTTGAGCCTTGGTTTTCAGCTCCATCAGCTCCTTTAAGCACTTCTCTGTATTGGTTATTCTAGTTATACATTCTTCTAAATTTTTTTCAAAGTTTTCAACTTCTTTGCCTTTGGTTTGAATGTCCTCCCGTAACTCAGAGTAATTTGATCGTCTGAAGCCTTCTTCTCTCAGCTCGTCAAAATCATTCTCCATCCAGCTTTGTTCTGTTGCTGGTGAGGAACTGCGTTCCTTTGGAGGAGGAGAGGCGCTCTGCGTTTTAGAGTTTCCAGTTTTTCTGTTCTGTTTTTTCCCCATCTTTGTGGTTTTATCTACTTTTGGTCTTTGATGATGGTGATGTACAGATGGGTTTTTGGTGTGTATGTCCTTTCTGGTTGTTAGTTTTCCTTCTAACAGACAGGACCCTCAGCTGCAGGTCTGTTGGAATACCCTGCCGTGTGAGGTGTCAGTGTGCCCCTGCTGGGGGGTGCCTCCCAGTTAGGCTGCTCGGGGGTCAGAGGTCAGGGACCCACTTGAGGAGGCAGTCTGCCCGTTCTCAGATCTCCAGCTGCGTGCTGGGAGAACCACTGCTCTCTTCAAAGCTGTCAGACAGGGACACTTAAGTCTGCAGAGGTTACTGCTGTCTTTTTGTTTGTCTGTGCCCTGCCCCTAGAGGTGGAGCCTACAGAGGCAGGCAGGCCTCCTTGAGCTGTGGTGGGCTCCACCCAGTTCGAGCTTCCCGGCTGCTTTGTTTACCTAAGCAAGCCTGGGCAATGGCGGGCGCCCCTCCCCCAGCCTCGTTGCCGCCTTGCAGTTTGATCTCAGACTGCTGTGCTAGCAATCAGCGAGATTCCGTGGGCGTAGGGCCCTCTGAGCCAGGTGTGGGATATAGTCTCGTGGTGCACCGTTTCTTAAGCCGGTCTGAAAAGCGCAATATTCGGGTGGGAGTGACCCGATTTTCCAGGTGCGTCCGTCACCCCTTTCTTTGACTCGGAAAGGGAACTCCCTGACCCCTTGTGCTTCCCAGGTGAGGCAATGCCTCGCCCTGCTTCGGCTCGCGCATGGTGCGCACACACACTGGCCTCTGCCCACTGTCTGGCACTCCCTAGTGAGATGAACCCGGTACCTCAGATGGAAATGCAGAAATCACCCGTCTTCTGCGTCGCTCACGCTGGGAGCTGTAGACCGGAGCTGTTCCTATTCGGCCATCTTGGCTCCTCCTCCCTTGATATGCATTTCAAAACACTTAATTTGATAAATGAAATGAGAATTTTTGTTTTGGGTGGAATAGTTTCCAGACAGGTAATAGCAACAGATTTCATGAAAAGCAGGTGAGTTCACAACAGAGAACCCTAGATCAGTTATTCTAAAAGTGTGGTACCTCCCGACCAGCAGTACCTGCATCCCCTGGGAACTTCTTAGAAATGGAAATTCTCTGGTCTTACCCCTGTTCTATTGAGTCAGAAGATTGTGTCTGTGTGTGTGTGTGTGTGTGTGCGTGCACGCATGTGTGCGCATGTTCATGCACACATGGGCAAAGCACTCTGTGTTTTAATTAGTCCTTCAAGTGATTGCAAAGCCCACTAAAATTTAATAACCAGTGCCCTTCACCTGTAATCCCAGCACTCTGGGAGGCCAAGCTGGGCAGATCACTTGAGCCCAGGAGTTTGAGACCAGCCTGGGCAACATGGCCAGACCCTGTCTCCACAAAAAGCACAAAAATTAGCCGGGCATGATGGCACACATCCGTAGTCCCAACTACTCAAGAGGCTGAGGTGGGAGGGTCACCTGAGTCCCAGAGGTTGAGGCTGTGGTGAGCTGTGATCATACCACCGCACTTCAGCCTGGGTGACAGAATAAGACCCTGTCTCAAAAAAAAAAAAAAAGAACCAGTGTCCTACATATAATTTAAATACCTTAAGGTAAAGAGTTTATGAGGCATGGTTCCAAGATGGCCAAATAGGAACAGCTCCAGTCTACAGCTCCCAGAGTGAGCAATGCAGAAGATGGGTGATTTCTGCATTTCCAACTGAGGTACCGGGTTCATCTCACTGGGGCTTGTCAGACAGTGAGTGAAGGAGAGTGGGTGCAGCCCACCGAGCAAGAGCCAAAGCAGGGCAAGGCATTGCCTCACCCAGGAAGCAAAAGGGGTCAGGGAATTCCCTTTCCTAGCCAAGGGAAGCTGTGACAGATGGCACCTAGAAAATTGGGTCACTCCCACCCTAATACTGCGCTTTTCCAATGGTCTTAGCAAATGGTACACCAGGAGATTATATCCCATGCCTGGCTCAGAAGGTCCCACAACCATGGTACCGGGTTCCTCACTTGTTTCTTAGCACAGTAGTCTGAGATGAACTGCAAGGCAGCAGTGAGGCTGGGAGAGGGGTGCCCACCATTGCTGAGGCTTGAGTAGGTAAACAAAGCAGCGGGGAAGCTTGTACTGGGTGGAGCCCACCACAGCTCAAGGAGGCCTGCCTGCCTCTGTAGACTCCACCTCTGGGGGCAGGGCATAGCTGAACAAAAGGCAGCAGAAATTTCTGCAGACTTAAATGTCCCTGTCTGACAGCTTTGAAGAGAGTAGTGGTTCTCCCTGCATGGAGTTTGAGATCTGAGATTGGACAGACTGCCTCCTCAAGTGGGTCCCTGACCCGCAAGTAGCCTAACTGGGAGGCACCTCCCAGTAGGGGCTGACTGACACTTCACACAGCTGGGTGCCCCTCTAAGACGAAGCTTCCAGAGGAACGATCAGGCAGGAACATTTGCTGTTCTGCAATATTCGCTGTTCTGCAGCCTCTGCTGGTGATACCCAGGCAAACAGGGTCTGGAGTGGACCTCCAGCAAACTCCAACAGACCTGCAGCTGAGGATCCTGACTGTTAGAAGGAAAACTAACAAAAAGGACATCCACACCGAAACCCTATCTGTAAGTCACCATCATCAAATACCAAAGGTAGATAAAACCACAAAGATGGGCAGAAACCAGAGCAGAAAAGCTGAAAATTCTAAAAATCAGAAGGCCTTTTATCCTCCAAAGGAACACAGCTCCTCACCAGCAACAGAACAAAGCTGGGTGGAGAATGACTTTGACAAGTTGAGAGTAGAAGGCTTCAGACGATCAAACTTCTCCGAGCTAAAGGAGGATGTTCAAACCCATTGCAAAGAAGCTAAAAACCTTGAAAAACATTAGACGAATGGCTAACTAGAATAATCAGTGTAGAGAAGTCCTTAAATGGCCTGATGGAGCTGAAAACCATGGCACGAGAACTACGTGATGCATGCACAAGCTTCAGTAGCTGATTCGATCAACTGAAAGAAAGGGTATCAGTGATTGAAGATCAAATGAATGATATGAAGTGAGAAGAGAAGTTTAGAGAAAAAAGAGTAAAAAGAAATGAACAAAGCCTCCAAGAAATATGGAATTATGTGAAAAGACCAAATCTAGGTCAGATTAGTGTACCTGAAAGTGATGGGGAGAATGGAACTAAATTGGAAAACACTCTTCAGGATATTATCCAGGAGAATTTCCCCAACATAGCAAGGCAGGCCAACATTCAAATTCAGGAAATACAGAGAATGCCACAAAGATACTCCTCAAGAAGAGCAACTCCAAGATGCATAATTATCAGATTCCCCAAAGTTGAAATGAAGGAAAAAATGTTAAGGGCAGCCAAAGAGAAAGGTCGGGTTACCCACAAAGGGAAGCCCATCAGACTAACAGTGGATCTCTCGGCAGAAACTCTACAAGCCAGAAGAGAGTGGGGGCCAATATTCAACATTCTTAAAGAAAAGAATTTTCAACCCAGAATTTCATGTCCAGCCAAACTAAGCTTCATAAGTGAAAGAGAAATAAAATACTTTACAGACAAGCAAATGCTGAGAGATTTTGTCACCACCAGGCTTGCCTTACAAGAGTTCCTGAAGGAAGCACTAAACATGGAAGGAACAACCGGTACCAGCCACGGCAAAAACATGCCAAATTGTAAAAACCATTGAGGCTAGGAAGAAACTGCATCAACTAACGAGCAAAATAATCAGCTAACATCATGATAGGATCAAACTCACACATAACAATATTAACCTTAAACATAAATGGGCTAAATGTTCCAATTAAAAGACACAGACTGGCAAATTGGACAAAGAGTCAAGACCCATCAGTGTGCTGTATTCAGGAGACCCATCTCACGTGCAGAGACACACACAGACTCAAAATAAAGGGATAGAGGAAGATCTACCAAGCAAATGGAAAACCAAAAAAAAGCAGGGGTTGCAATCCTAGTTTCTGATAAAACAGACTTTAAACCAACAAAGATCAAAAGAGACAAAGAAGGCCATTACATAATGGTAAAGGGATCAATTCAACAAGAAGAGCTAACTATCCTAAATATATATGCACCCAATACAGGAGGACCCAGATTCATAAAGCAAGTCCTTAGAGACCTACAAAGAGACTGAGACTCCCACACAATAATAATGGGAGACTTTAACACTCCATTGTCAACATTAGACAGATCAACGAGACAGAAAGTTCACAAGGATATCGAGGAATTGAACTCAGCTCTGCACCAAGTGGACCTAATAGACATCTACAGAACTCTCCACCCCAAATTAACAGAATATACATTCTTCTCAGCACCACATTGCACTTATTCCAAAATTGACCACATACTGGGAAGTAAAGCACTCCTCAGCAAGTGTAAAAGAACAGAAATTATAACAAACTATCTCTCAGACCACAGTGCAATCAAACTAGAACTCAGAATTAAGAAACTCACTCAAAACTGCTCAACTACATGGAAACTGAACAACCTGCTCCTGAATGACTACTGGGTACATAACAAAATGAAGGCAGAAATAAAGATGTTCTTTGAAACCAATGAGAACAAAGACACAACATACCAGAATCTCTGGGACACACTTAAAGCAGTGTGTAGAGGGAAATTTATAGCACTAAATGCCCACAAGAGAAAGCAGGAAAGATCTAACATTGACACCCTAACATCACAATTAAAAGAACTAGAGAAGCAAGAGCAAACACATTCAAAAGCTAGCAGAAGGCAAGAAATAACTAAGATCAGAGCAGAACTGAAGGAGATAGAGACACAAAAAAACCCTTCAAAAAATCAATGAATCCAGGAGCTGGTTTTTTTTGAAAAGATCAACAAAATTGATAAACCGTTAGCAAGATAACAAAGAAGAAAAGAGAGAAGAATCAAATAGATGCAATAAAAAATGATAAATGGCTTATCACCACCAACCCCACAGAAATACAAACTACCATCAGAGAATACTATAAACATCTCTACGCAAATAAACTAGAAAAATCTAGAGGAAATGGATAAGTTCCTGGACACATACACCCTCCCAAGACTAAACCAGGAAGAAGTTGAATCCCTGAATAGACCAATAACAGGCTCTGAAAATGAGGCAATAATTAATAGCCTAACAACCAAAAAAAGTCCAGGACCAGACGGATTCACAGCTGAATTCTACCAGAGGTACAAGGAGGAGCTGGTACCATTCCTTCTGAACTATTCCAATCAATAGAAAAAGAGGGAATCCTCCTTAACTCATTTTATGAGGCCAGCATCATCCTGATACCAAAGCCTGGCAGAGACACAACCAAAAAAGAGAATTTTAGACCAATATCCCTGATGAACATCTATGCAAAAATCCTCAATGAAATACTGGCAAACTGAATCCAGCAGCACATCAAAAACTTATCCACCATGATCAAGTGGGCTTCATCCCTGGGATGCAAGGCTGGTTCAACATATGCAAATCAATAAATGTAATCCATCATATAAACAGAACGAAAGACGAAAACCATATGATTATCTCAATTGATGCAGAAAAGGCCTTTGACAAAATTCAACAGCCCCTCATGCTAAAAACTCTCAATAAATTAGGTACTGATGGGACATATCTCAAAATAATAAGAGCTACTTATGAGAAACCCACAGCCAATATCATACTGAATGGGCAAAAACTGTAAGCATTCCCTTTGAAAACTGGCACAAGGCAGGGATGCCCTCTCTCACCACTCCTATTCAACATAGTATTGGAAGTTCTGGCCAGGACAATCAGGCAGGAGAAAGAAATAAAAGGTATTCAATTAGGAAAAGAGGAAGTCAAATTGTCCCTGTTTGCAGATGACATGATTGTATATCTAGAAAACCCCATTGTCTCAGCCCAAAATCTCCTTAAGCTGATAAGCAACTTCAGCAAAATCTCAGGATACAAAATCAATGTGCAAAAATCACAAGCATTCCTATACACCAATAACAGACAAACAGAGAGCCAAATTATGAGTGAACTCCTATTCACAATTGCTTCAAAGAGAGTAAAATACCTAGGAATCCAACTTACAAGGGATGTGAAGGACCTCTTCAAGGAGAACTACAAACCACTTCTCAAGGAAATAACAGAGGACACAAACAAATGGAAAAGCATTCCATGCTCATGGATAGGAAGAATCAATATCATGAAAATGGCCATACTGCCCAACGTAATTTATAGATTCAGTGTCATCCCCATCAAGTTACCAATGACTTTCTTCACAGAATTGGAAAAAACTACTTTAAAGTTCATATGAAACCAAAAAAGAGCCCACATTGCCAAGACAATCCTAAGCCAAAAAAACAAAGCTGGAGGCATCATGTTACCTGACTTCAAACTATACTACAAGGCAACACTAACCAAAACAGCATGGTACTGGTACCAAAACAGAGATATAGACCAATGGAATAGAACAGAGCCCTCAAAAATAATACCACACATCTACAACCATCTGATCTTTGACAACCCTGACAAAAACAAGAAATGGGGAAAGGATTCCCTATTTAATAAATGGTGCTGGGAAAACTGGCTAGCCATATGCAGAAAGCTGGAACTGGATCCCTTCCTTACACCTTATAAAAAATTAATTCAAGATGGATTAAAGACTTAAATGTTAGACCTAAAACCATAAAAACCCTAGAAAAAAACCCAGGCAATACCATTCAGGACAGAGGCACGGGCAAGGACTTCATGTCTAAAACACCAAAAGCAATGGCAACAAAAGCCAAAATTGACAAATGGGATCTAATTAAACTAAAGAGCTTCTGCACATCAAAAGAAACTACCATCAGACTGAACAGGCAACCTACAGAATGGGAGAAAATTTTTGCAATCTACGAATCTGACAAAGGGCTAATTTCCAGAATCTACAAAGAACTTAAACAAATTTACAAGAAAAAAATCAAACAAGCCCATCAAAAAGTGGGCAAAGGATATGAACTGATATTTCTCAAAAGAAGACATTTATGCAGCTAACAGACACATGAAAAAATGCTCATCATCACTGGCCATCAGAGAAATGCAAATCAAAACCACAATGGGATACCATCTCACACCAGTCAGAATGGCAATCATTAAAAAGTCAGGAAACAACAGGTGCTGGAGAGGCTGTGGAGAAATAGGAACACTTTTACACTGTTGATGGGACTGTAAACTAGTTCAACCATTGTGGAAGACAGTGTGGCGATTCCTCAGGGATCTTGAACTAGAAATACCATTTGACCCAGCCATCCCATTACTGGGTATATACCCAAAGGACTATAAATCATGCTGCTATAAAGACACGCACACGTATGTTTATTGTGGCACTATTCACAATAGCAAAGACTTGGAACCAACCCAAATGCCCATCAATGATAGACTAGATAAAGAAAATGTGGCACATATTCACCATGGAATACTATGCAGCCATAAAAAAGAATGAGTTCATGTCCTTTGCAGGGACATGGATGAAGCTGGAAACCATCATTCTCAGCAAACTATCTCAAGGACAGAAAACCAAGCACCACATGTTCTCACTCATAGGTGGGAATTGAACAATGAGAACACTTGGACACAGGAAGGGGACCATCACACACTGGGGCCTGTCGTGGGGTGGGGGGAGCGGGGAGGGATAGCATTAGGAGATATACCTAATGTAAATTACGAGTTAACGGGTGCATCACACCAACATGGCCCATGTATGCATATGTAACAAACCTGCACATTGTGCACATGTACCCTAGAACTTAAAGTATAATAATAAAAACAAAAATAAAAATGAAAATAAAAAATAAATAAAAAGTTTATTAGGCAAAATGTTGGATGTTAACTCAATGGAATATCATGTTGTCAGTAAAAATGCCAATTTATTGATGGATGATATAACTTCAAAAATGAAACTGAATTATGTGCAAATTATAATATGAGGTAATTAAAATTATGTGTAACACAAAAATTTGAATGCCATATTTGTAAAATGAAATTTAGAGGATTGCCTTAGTTGGGTGTATGTAAATGTGATCATTTTATATTGCTGTTGTTTAGTTTATAAGAAGTTTATATTTTATAGTTAAGGTAAATACACACTGAAAGAGAAAAAAATGCCAAACAATAGAAATATATAATGTGTTTATAAAGTACAATACATAACATAATTATTTGTTAAAAATGCATAACATGCAAATTAATTAACAGATGAAAAATATTATATTAATTTGAAAAGGCCAGTTGCTTCTGGGGCATCTCTCTTGTTTTTAAGTAAAAAGTACAGCTGAGAGAAGCAGAGGCTTCCTTGCCAATACATCTGCTTTTTTCACACTGTTCATAAGACAGCTCACACTCTCTAAGTGAGACCAGCTTTCCCCAGGGTGCCACAACTGAAACATTCCGGATAAAATAGTACATAACATTCAGAGGTTGGAATCTTCCTGCCCCAGCTTTTTTCTTTTTCTTAACCTGTGACTTGCAAAAAGAGAAAAATCCATATATTCTGATTTCATGGAAATAAATGTTAGGAACAACTGTATAATATTTGACTCATTATAATCTATAAACATGAATGATACAAGATTTTAGAAGTGCATAATGCCTGAGGATTGGATTATCTGAGAGGTTTCACTTAAACAAGGGCCTTTCACCTCAAAATCATCATTTAGAATCTAGACATGGATGATGATAAAATAAACTCCTGACCCCTAAGATTTGTTCCAGTTCTAAATGCTTGGTAGTTCTATGATTCTACTGCTGTTTTGTGGCTGGAAATATTTGCACAGCTTCAGTGAATTCTGAGGAACAGAATATATATACAGGCATACCATAAAGGAAGATATTACAATTGTCCAAGAATAAAGTCATTTTTTTCTGCCTGGGGAAATGACAAGTCTAAATAGATGTGACTAAATGTTGAAAGAGATGCCAAAAGGGCTCATAATCTATCCTTATAGACACCTTGGATCCCCATGGTAAATGTTCAAAGAAATAAACTTTTGAAAACAAAAATAGATGAAAAAGCCTTGCCCTTTAAAATATAACCTTATCAGATTCAACAGATTAATGTTCTAGTAAATCATAGAGTATTTGTTGTGGAGGGCCTATCTATTTTCTTTTACAGTTTACAGAAATCTAGTGGTTTCCAGTAAGGAGGTGCATGTACCCAGGGGGCTCTTAAGACAGTCCATTGAGGCCAGGCTCAGTGGCTCACATCTGTAATCCCAGCACTTTGGGAGGCCGAGGTGGGCGGATCACGAGGTCAGGAGATCGAGGCCATCCTGGCTAACACAGTGAAACCCCGTCTCCACTAAAAATACAAAAAAATAAACGTCTTCTTTTGAGAAGTGTCTGTTCATTTCCTTTGCCCACTTTTTCATGGGGTTGTTTGTTTTTTTTTTGTAAATTTGTTTGAGTTCATTGTAGATTCTGGATATTAGCCCTTTGTCAGATGAGTAGGTTGCGAAAATTTTCTCCCATTTTGTAGGTTGCCTGTTCACTCTGATGGTAGTTTCTTTTGCTGTGCAGAAGCTCTTTAGTTTAATTAGATCCCATTTGTCAATTTTGTCTTTTGTTGCCATTGCTTTTGGTGTTTTAGACATGAAGTCATTGCCCATGCCTATGTCCTGAATGGTAATGCCTAGGTTTTCTTCTAGGGTTTTTATGGTTTTAGGTCTAACGTTTAAGTCTTTAATCCATGTTGAATTGATTTTTGTATAAGGTGTAAGGAAGGGATCCAGTTTCAGCTTTCTACATATGGCTAGCCAGTTTTCCCAGCACCATTTATTAAATAGGGAATCCTTTCCCCATTGCTTGTTTTTCTCAGGTTTATCAAAGATCAGATAGTTGTAGATATGTGACGTTATTTCTGAGGGCTCTGTTCTGTTCCATTGATCTATATCTCTGTTTTGGTACCAGTACCATGCTGTTTTGGTTACTGTAGCCTTGTAGTATAGTTTGAAGTCAGGTAGTGTGATGCCTCCAGCTTTGTTCTTTTGGCTTAGGATTGACTTGGCGATGCGGGCTCTTTTTTGGTTCCATATGAACACATTTATGCAGCCAAAAAACACATGAAAAAATGCTCATCATCACTGGCCATCAGAGAAATGCAAATCAAAACCACAATGAGATACCATCTCACACCAGTTAGAATGGCAATCATTAAAAAGTCAGGAAACAACAGGTGCTGGAGAGGATGTGGAGAAATAGGAACACTTTTACACTGTTGGTGGGACTGTAAACTAGTTCAACCATTGTGGAAGTCAGTGTGGCGATTCCTCAGGGATCTAGAACTGGAAATACCATTTGACCCAGCCATCCCATTACTGGGTATATACCCAAAGGATTATAAATCATGCTGCTATAAAGACACATGCACACGTATGTTTATTGCGGCATTATTCACAATAGCAAAGACTTGGAACCAACCCAAATGTCCAACAATGATAGACTGGATTAAGAAAATGTGGCACATATACACCATGGAATACTATGCAGCCATAAAAAATGATGAGTTCATGTCCTTTGTAGGGACATGGATGAAATTGGAAATCATCATTCTCAGTAAACTATCGCAAGAACAAAAAACCAAACACTGCATATTCTCACTCATAGGTGGGAATTGAACAATAAGATCACATGGACACAGGAAGGGGAATATCACACTCTGGAGACTGTTATGGGGTGGGGGGAGGGGGTAGGGATAGCATTGGGAGATATACCTAATGCTAGATGACGAGTTAGTGGGTGCAGTGCACCAGCATTGCACATGTATACATATGTAACTAACCTGCACAATGTGCACATGTACCCTAAAACTTAAAGTATAATAAAAAATAAATAAATAAATAAATAAATAAATAAAAATACAAAAAAATTAGCCGGGCATTGTGGTGGGCTCCTGTAGTCCCAGCTACTCAGGAGGATGAGGCAGGAGAATGGCGTGAACCCAGGAGGCGGAGTTGGCAGTGAGCCGAGATCGCCCTGCTGCACTCCAGCCTGAGCGACAGAGCGAGACTCTGCCTCAAAAAAGAAAAAAAAAAAAAATCCATTGATATGTGGAAAGAGCATACTATATTTATGCTAACATTTCACCTAAAAATAAGGAAGAAATATTATTTACTATTATTTAACATACAAAATGACACATACACTCTCACATTAAGTATGCAGCGTATCCTGAGCGAAAGTCAAAAAGTTCCGTCAATGCGAGGATTGGCGTCAATGCAATGCAGCTTCCTTTGTTAAATTATTCACTTGCAAGGCCGGGCGCGGTGGCTCACGCCTGTAATCCCAGCACTTTGAGAGGCCGAGGAGGGCGGATCACGAGGTCAGGAGTTCGAGACCAACCTGGCCAACATGGTGAAACCCCGTCTCTACTAAAAATACAAAATTATCCGGTCGTCGTGACACATAGCTGTAATCCCAGATATTCGGGAAGCTGAGGCCAGAGAATCGCTTGAACCCAGGAGGCGGAGGCTGCAGTGAGCCAAGGTCTCACCATTGCACTCCAGCCTGGGCAACAAGGGCAAGACTCTGTCTCAAACAAACAGAAAAACAAACAAAACAAAAAACAACAAAAAAATTCACTTGCAAGTTATTTTGCTATAGTTCAGTTAAGTGGATTTACAGTGTAGAGTATTGAATTGTTACTAAATAAAATTAACAAATACTTAAAAAGATCCCCACCCCCTAATTAAAATGTGAATTGAAGATGATACTAATAATGCAAGTACAAGGGAAAAGTGATAGGGCTGACAACTCTATTCACATCTGACAAATTCTGACGATGGTGAACACCAGTATATCAAATAAAATGCATTGAATATAGAACAAGACCTTTGAATTGTTGTACAGTAAAGTATTAAACCCAGAGTTTTCAAAACTAAGCATATTCAATCGATTCTTCTTACTATTAAGTAAGTAAAATTATTTAAAATATTGTGCATTTCACTTTTTCATCCTTTAAAGCCAGGTTTTTTGGGAGGCATAATTTATATAGAGTAAAATTCATCCTATTTCAATGCACAGTTTGGTGAATTTAAACATGTGTACCTAGTCAAGTAATAATCACCTAATGTTATATAGTTTTATCACCCCCCAAATTTACTGTTGCCTTTTTGCAGTCACTCCCTCTCCCCACAACCTGAGCCCCTGGAAACAATTGATCTCATCATATAAATGGAATCGTACAATATGTAGCTTTTAGTGTTTAGCTTCTTTCACTGAGCATAATGCTTCATTTTAAAAAAATGGTCTTGAGATAATTGTAGATTGACAGGTAAGAAGTGATAGAGACCCATGTTTCCTTTGCACAGTTTCTGCCAATGGTAACATCTTGCAAAACTGTTGTACAATATTTCAACCATGATGTTTACATTGATGCAGTCAAGGTAGAGAACATTTTCATCACCACAAGGATCCCTCTTATTGCCTTTTTATAGTCACAATCACTTCCCTCAAATCCCCAACCCCTCCTTAACACCTGGCAACCAATAATCTATTCTCCATTTCTATAATAAAGTCATCTCAAGGGGATCATTAAAGTCTGGAAACAATAGATGCTGGCAAGGACGTGGAGAAATAGGAACGCTTTTACACTGTTGGTGGGAGTGTAAATTAGTTCAACTATTGTAGAAGACAGTGTGGTGATTCCTCAAGGATATAGAACCAGAAATACCATTTGACCCAGCAATCCCATTATTGGGTATATACCCAAAGGATTATAAATCATTCTACTATAAAGACACATGCACACGTATGTTTATTGCAGCACTATTTACAATAGCAAAGACTTGGAACCAACCCAAATGCCCATCAATGATAGACTGGATAAAGAAAATGTGGCACATATTCACCATGGAATACTATGCAGCCATAAAAAAGAATGAGTTCATGTCCTTTGCGGGGACATGAATGAAGCTGGAAACCATCATTCTTAGCAAACTAACACAGAAACAGAAAAGCAAACACTGCATATTCTCATTCATAAGTGGGAGCTAAACAATGAGAAGACATGGACATAGGGAGGGAAACGTCACACACTGGGGCCTGTTGGGGGGTGGGGGGAAAGGGAGGGAGAGCATTAGGACAAATACTGAATGCATGTGGAGCTTAAAACCTAGATGACAGATTGATAGATGCAGCAAACCACCATCGCACATGTATATCTATGTAACAAACCTGCACGTTCGGCACATGTATCCCAGAACTTGAAGTAAAATAAATAAATAAATAAATAAATAAATAAATAAATAAATAAATAAATAAAATGTAAATGTAATCATATAACATGTATTCTTTGAGGATTGGCTTTTTTCACTTTGCATAATTCTCTGGAGATTCATCCAGGATGTTCTGTGTCTCAATAGTTTATTCTTCTCTACTGCTTAGCAGCATTCCATAGTATGAGTGCACTACAATTTAACCATTCACTCACTGAAAGACATCAGAGTTGCTTCCAGTTTGGGAGTAATATAAACAAAACTGCTACAAATATTTGTGTACAGGTTTTTCTGTGAGCATAAGTCTGCATTTCCCTGGAATAAATGTCCAAGAGTGCAATTACTGGACCATATTGTATTTGCATATTTAGTTTTAAAAAAAGTCAAATTATTTACCTAAGTAGTTGTACCAATTCATTTTTAACAGCAATGAATGTGTGATCCTATTTCTTTGCATTTTTCCAGCATTTGTTGTAGTCACTACTTTAAAAAATTTCAGTCATTCTCATAGGTATATAGTGAGATCTCATTTTGGTTTTAATTTTTATTTCCCTAATGACTAATGATAAGTAACATCTTCTCATGTGCTTATTTCTGCTTTATACTCCTTCATGAAATGCCTCTTCATGTCTTTTGCATATTTTCAAATTGTAGCAGGTTGTTTTACCATTAAATTTTCAGAATTTAAAAATTACCTTCTAGATAGTAGATCTTTGTTAGATATGTGGTTTGTAAATATTTTCTCCCACTCTATAGATTGCTGAGTTTTTAATCCTCTTATCAGGGTCTTTCACAGAGAAAAAGTTTTATTTTGACGAAGTCTAGTTTATCTATTTTTCCTTTTGTGAATTATGCTTTTGGTGTCAGATCTAAGAACTCTTTGCCTAGCTCTATATCCTGAATATTTTCTTCTAGAAGTTTTATAGCTTTACACTCATGTTTAAGTCTGTGATCATTTTAAGCCACTCTTTGTGAAACGTGTGAGATTTGAGTCAAGGATAATCTTTTTGGCCTGTAGTCTCCAGAGCTCTGGCACCATTTGTGGAAAAGTCTAGTCTTCCTCTGTTGAATTGGTTGTGCATTCTTGTCACAAATTAGTTGGAAATATTTGTATGAATGTATTTCTAGATTCTCTATTCTGTTCCATTAATTTATTTTTCTATCCCTCCACTAGTACTACACAGTCTTGATTACTGTAGCTGTGTATTAAGTCTTGAAATTGGGTAGACTGATTCTCTCTTTATTTTTCAAAAAATGTTTTAGCTATTCTAGTTCCTTTGCCTTTTCATATTAACTTTAGAATAATCTTGTCTATATCTACAAAAAAATCTTACTAGTATTTTGAAAGGAATTGCACTGAACTTTCATATCAATTTGTGGAAAATTGACCTCTCTATTATTTCAAGTCTTCTAATCCATGAACACAGTATGCCTCTCCATTTATGTAGATCTTTGATTTATTGCATTACTGTTGTGCAGTTTTCAGCATACAAGTTTTGTACATGTTTTGTTAGATTTACTCTTAAGTATTTCATTTTTTAAACAATTGCAATTGGCATCGTGTTTTTAATTTCGGTATCCACATGTTTCTTGCCAGTATATAGAAATACAACTGATTTTGGTATGTTTATCTTGTAAACTTACTGAACTCACTTATTAGTTCAAGGAAGTTTTTGGATATTCCTTAGTATTTTGTTCATAGATAATCATTTCATCTGCAAATATGGACAGTTTTATTTCTTCCTTTCCAATCTTATACATCTTTTTTTCCCTTTCATGTGTTACAGTATTGGCTAGAACTTTCAGCACCCTGTTTAATATGAGTGGTGAGAGTGAACATCCTTACCTTGCCCCCAGTCTTAGGGGAAAGCATTCAGTCCTTCCACCAGTAAGCCTAACGTTAGCTGCAGATCATCCCCCCTTGTTTTGTAAATTCTCTGTATCAAGCTGAAGAAGTTCCCTTTTGCTCATTTTCTTCTGAGAATTTTTATCATAAACGGGTGTTAAACTTTGTTAATGCTTTTTTTCAGTATTGATTGACATGATTATGCGATTTTTTTTCTTTAGCTTTTTAATATGTTGGATTACATTGCTTATTTTTTAATATTGAACAAATCTTACATTCTTGGAATAAATCCCACTTTGTAATGATGTATACTTTTAATTCCATTTGTTTATTCTTAAAAATAATTTTTGCATATATGATCGTGAGAGATAATAATCTGTAGTTTTCTTTTGTTGTACTGCCCTTGTTTCTTTTTGGTGTCAGGATAATACTAGCTTTATAAAATGAATTGTGTTCTCCTCTATTTCATAGAAAAGATCCTGTAGAATTTGTGTCACTTCTTCTTTAAATGCTTAGTAGAATTCTTCAGTGAAACTATCTGGTCCTAGAGATTCCTTTTTTGAGAGTTTTTAAATTATGAATTAAATTTCCTTAATAATTTTAAGGTTATTTGAATTTTAAGGTTATTTAATATTGGATGTGAGTTGTCGTGGTTTGTATTTTTTGAGAAAGGGTTCCATTTTGTCTACATTATAAAACTTACTTGTGTGGAGTTATTTTTAGTTTTCCCCTATTATCCTTTTGATGTCTGCAGAGTCTGTAGTGACCTCTCTGCTCCATGTTTGGTAAGGTAATTTGCATCTTCTCTCATTTATTCTTTATCAGTCTGTTTAGAGATTTTTCAGTTTTATCAATCTTTTCAAAGTATCAGCTCTTTGTATTGTTGATTTTCTCTATAGTTTTTTTGTTCTCAGTTGATGTCTATTCTTATTTAAATTACCTACTTCATACTATTTGCTTTAGGTTTAGTTTGCTCTTTTAGGTTCTTGAGGCAGGAGATTAGATTATTGATCTGAAAGTTTTCTTTTTCCCAATGTATATATTTAGTTCTATAAATGTGCCTCTCCGTAATGTGTTAGATACTTTCCACCATTTTGATAGATCGAGTTTTCATTTTTATTCAATTCAGCATATTTTTTAAATTTCCCTCTAGACTTTCTCTTTGACCCATGGATTATTTAGAAGTGTGTTGTTTAGTTTCTGAGTGTTTTGAGAGTAAAGTTTCCTGTTATCTTTCTGTTATTGATTCTAATTTTGTTCCATTATAATCAGAGAATACAGTTCGTATGATTCCAATTATTTTAAATTTGTTAAGGTTCGTTTTATGGCCCAGGATATGGTGTCTCTTGATACATGTTCTATAGGTATTTAAAAATAACATGTATTCTGTTGTTGGATGGTATATTCTTTAAATGTCTATTAGATCCTCTTGGTTGATGGTTAATCAGTGTTGACAGTTCTTTTCTTTTAGTGCTTGAAAAATAGTATGCTACTTCCTTCTGGCCTCCATGGTTTCTAATGAGAAACTGCTATCATTTGCTTCATTTTTCCTAGAGGTAAGGTGTTTTTTTAGGTCTACTTCAATTTTAAAAATTTTAATTTGTATTTCATTTTCCAAGTTTAATTGTGATATGCCCTGGTATGTATTTTTTGGATTTTTCCTATTTGAGGCTTACTCGGCTTCTTGAATCTGTAGGCTTATGTCTCTTGGCAAATTTTGGAAGTTTTCATCCATTATTTCTTCAAATACTTTTTCAGCCTCACCCTCTTCCTTCTCTTCTTCTGGGATTCTGATGACTTCAACATTAGATCTTTTGCTTTAGTCCTAAATGTCTTTCAGGCTCTATTCATCTTTTTATTTCAGTCTATTTCATTGTTCAGATTAGGAAATTTCCATTGTTTAAAATTTTGGATCACTGATTATCTCCTATATTCCCTCCTTTTTTTGTTATTGAGTTTATCCACTGAACTTTTTCATTTCAACTATTATATTTTTCGGTTCTAAAGTTTCCACTGGATTCTTCTTTATATCTCCTATTTATTTGCTGAGGCTTTCTATTTTTTGTTTCAAGCATGTTTATAATTGCTTGTTGAAGCATTTTTATCATGGCTTCTTTAATATCTTTGCCAAATAACTCTAACATGTGTGTCATCTTGATGTTGGCATCTACTGATTGTCTTTTATCATTCTGTTGATAAATATTTCTGGTTCTTGGTATGATGAGTGATTTTTTAAATTGAAACCTGGACATTTTTGTATTATATTATGAGACTATAGATCTCCTACTTTAATTGGGTTTCTCTGATGTTGTTCTGCCTGAGGAATGGAGCTCACGACCTTGTTAATTCCAGGTTTCTTACTCAGCCTTTAAGGGGGTCTCCTCATTACTACTGGGGGGGAATGGGAGTTCTGGCTCTCCCTACATCCTTGACTGATTCCATGTGGACAGTGGCTTAATCAATGGATGATGGTGAAGTCCCGACTCTCCACCAGGTCATCTCTGATGACATTCCTGCAGGGAGAGAGAGGAATATCTCATTACAGCTGGGTAGGGCTGGAGCTATTAACACCATAGGCTAGGGTGTTATTACAGGATGGTTGGGGGTGACACTTTTAGTCTTAGGGTGGCCTCCTCTGACATCACCCTAGCAGTGTGTTGGGCATCTGGTGAGGATGGAAGTCTAGGCTCTTTATTCAGCCTTTTCTAGCATGGATGGAGACAAAGCCAAGATTTTAAATATTTGGCTAGAGTAGACTATTTATTGTCTATAAGCTTTCTGTCTTGCTAGGCTTCTCCTTTCCTGGTCCTTTGGCTAAGGAGAACAGACCTTTGTTAGTGCAAGAAGATTTGATAGTCATCCTTATTGCTGTATATATCAGTAAGATTTTTCCTGTATACGCTGAGTTGTATTCTATTCTATGGGTATACCACAATTTGTTCATCCATTCAGTAGTTGTTGGCCATTGTGTTGTTTGCAGCTTTGGGTAATTATGAATAAAGATGTTATAAAGATGTTACAAGTAGTCACATGTAGGTCTTTGCAAGTACATTGTTTCTATTTTTCTTGGGTAAGACCTAGGAGTGGGATTTATGGGTTGTATGATAAGTATGTGTTTAACTTTTTAAGAACTTACCAAACAATTTTCCAAAATAATTGTACAATTTTGCATTCTCACCAGCAATTTATAAGAGTTTCAGTTGTTCTGCATCAGCATATTGATAGGTATGTAGTAATATCTAACTGTGTTTTAATTGCATTTTCCTGTTTGCTGATGATGTTGGATATCTTTTCATGTGCTTATGTCTTATCGATATCTCTTCTGTAATTAAATATTTTTTGCTCACTTTTTGAATTGGGTTATCTTATTATTTAGTTTAGAATGTTCTTTATATATTATAGATGCAACTTATGTGATATACATTTAGTAAATATTTTCTATTCTTTTATTTTTATTATCTATGTTATATTATATAAGGTATATAATATATAAATAAAATAACATAATAGGAATAGCCAAGAAAGTTCTTGTTTCCTCTTGACTCATACCTCAACCCCTTCTCCCTTTTTCTCTTTTTAGTCCTCTAGTAGTTACAGTTGATTCCAATCATCCTGTCCCACTACCTATCACTTTAGGTTTTTAATTTTCCTTTGTGGTTGATGGATTAAGTATCTCGAATGTAAGGAAGGTATATAGATAGGTTGGGGTAGCATCAATCTTATTACATTCAGCTGATCAGATAAAATATAAACACTTTCGCAATATTCACAATTCATAATATTTTAAGAATTTATCATTAAAAGATTCTAAACATCTGAAGGCAAGAAAAAGGTGTAAATGGAGAACTGGAGATCTTTGTCTAGGTTTTCATTTATACCAAAACTAAGTCCTTCCTATTTTCTGAAACCTGACCCTCTTCCTTTTATCTCAGTGAGTGGTATCATAATGAAATAGTCACTGCAGCCAAAGATCTGAGAATTATCCTAGACTCTCTTTTTCTCACAAATAATTCATTATTACATCTGTCAATTATGTCTTCTTATTATTTCTGTATCTTTTCTCTCTCTCCCAGCCCTTCTACCACCATACTATTAAAGCGGCCCTTTATCTAGTACCTGACCGCTTGGTTCTCAAACACTGGTATGATCAGAATCACCTCAAGGGTTTGTCAAAACAGATTTTTGGGTCCTATCTACAGAGGTTCTGATTCTGTAGGTCTGAGTAAGACCAGTTAATTTACATCTCTATCAAATTCTTAGGTGATGCCAAGGTTGCTGGTTCAAGGGCCATACTTTGAGATTCACTGTCATTGACTGTAACAAAAAGTTTCTACCTGCCCTCCAGAATCGCTGTCCCACTACTTAACAAATAAAATCCAAGCTCCTTATTCATGCCTAACCCATCCCTTATTTACAAAGAATGAGAGTGGTGCAGAGACTGTGCTTAGTAACACTGAGGATCCAGGGATGAACAAGTCACTCTCATTGCCTCAAAGTGCATAGCTCAAAGCATAGCTGTGAGATTGCAGGTGGCACAATACTGGCTTCATCGCCATGTGACCTTTGCAGTCCCACAAAACCCTGTGTTTAGAATGGCTTCATCCTTGGTTTCATGTTCTGCTATTGCCATCTTGAAATTCTTAATAACTTTTGAACAAGAGTTCCTGCATTTTAATTTTGCACTGGGCCTCATCACTATGTACCAGTCCTTGGTGGCAGGAAGGCCAGCTGGGTTACTCCATTCTCATGCTGCCAATAAAGACTTACCTGAGACTGGGTAATTTATAAAGGAAAGAGTTTTAATTGACTTACAGTTCCACAGAGCTGGGGAGGCCTTAGGAAACTTACAATCATGGTAGAAGGGGGAGAAAACACATCCTTCTTCACATGGCAGCAGAAAGAAGAATGAGAGCTAGGAGGGGAAAAGCCCCTTATAAAACCATCAGATCTCATGAGACTCGTTCAGTATCATGAGAACAGCATGAGTGCAATCGCCCCCATGATTCAATTACCTCCCACCAGGTCCCTCCCATGACACATGAACTATAATTCAAGATGAGATTTGGGTGGGGACATAGCTAGGCAATATCACCAGCCCTGAGCAAATTTACTTTTTCAGCTTTTACTACTGGTCAAGGCTTTCGTTTTAGTTCCATATCCAATCTTTCTGTGATAGTTGAGCCTCATTAAACTTAGCTGACCTGGGTTTATAAAAGCAATATTCTTCACTAGGCAAAATAGAGGTAAAAATTCTGATGGGTGGCTCTGGCCATGAATGCAGAAATTTTCTTCAGCCCCTCAAAATACACTAGGGGATGCCAACTGATAGTGGGTTTTCTGGAGAGTTTCTCAGCTTTGTTGAAAATCAAGAATCCTTGTAATACTTATATATTCCTTTTGAGAACTGGACGGCATATCTGCCACCACACATATGTGGGGATCATAAAATCACCATATATTTAGAGCTGAGAGGACTCATAAATGTTGGTAGTTTATCATATCCAGTCCCTGTCTATGACTAGATTCTAAAATGGATAGATGAGGCTAAAAGCCTTCCATGAAATAATCCCATCCCCAGGTATCATCTTTCTCACCTTGAATCATCTATAATTTGCTTTGAACTCATGAAGTCATAAAACCTGAGAATGTCATGGAAGCTCATGATGTGCTTCCTGCAAAAAGTTACCTTTAGGCCTGAGAGCTCCACCACCAATACCTGTTGAAACCCAGAAACAAAGGGGATTGTCAGAGTCAGATCCTCATGTTTCCCAGGCTCTTACTCTTTACAGGTCTTGTTTTATTTTTATTTTTTTATTATTATTATACTTCAAGTTCTAGAGTACATGTGCACATCGTGGAGATTACATGTGCCATGATGGTGTGCTGCACCCGTTAAGTTGTCATTTACATTAGGTATATCTCCTAATGCTATCCCTCTCCCCTTCCCCTACCCCATGACAGGCCCTGGTGTGTGATGTTCCCCACCCTGTGTCTAAGTGTTCTCATTGTTCAATTCCCACCTATGAGTGAGAACATGAGGTGTTTGGTTTTCTGTCCTTGTGATAGATTGCTGAGAATGATGGTTTCCAGCTTCATCCATGTCCCTATAAAGGACACGAAGTCATCCATTTTTATGGTTGCATGGTATTCCATGGTGTATATGTGCCACATTTTCTTAATCCAGTCTATCATTGATGGACATTTGGATTGGTTCCAAGTCTTTGCTATTGTGAATAGTGCTGCAATAAACATATGATATGTGTACCTGTGTCTTTATAGCAGCATGATTTATAATCCTTTGGGCATATACCCAGTAATGGGATGGCTGGATCAAATGGCATTTCTAGTTCCAGATCCTTGAGGAATCGCCACACTGTCTTCCACAATGGTTGAACTAGTTTACAATCCCCCAACAATGTAAAAGCATTCCTATTTCTCCACATCCTCTCCAGCACCTGTTGTTTCCTGACTTTTTAATGATTGCCATGCTAACTGGTGTGAGATGGTATCTCATTGTGGTATTGATTTGCATTTCTGAATAAAATACCTAGGAATCCAACTCACAAAGGATGTGAAGGACCTCTTCAAGGAGAACTACAAACCACTGCTCAACGAAATAAAAGAGGACACAAACAAATGAAACAACATTCCATGCTTATGAATAGGAAGAATCAATATTGTTAAAATGGCCATACTGCCCAAGGTAATTTATAGATTCAGTGCCATCCCCATCAAGTTACCAATGACTTTCTTCTCAGAATTGGAAAAAAAAACTACTTTAAAGTTCATATAGAACCAAAAAAGAGCCCGCATTGCCAAGACAATCCTAAGCCAAAGGAACAAAGTTGGAGACATCACGCTACCTGACTTCAAACTATACTACAAGGCTACAGCAACCAAAACAGCATGGTACTGGTACCAAAACAGAGATATAGACCAATGGAACAGAATAGAGCCCCTGGAAATAATGCCACACATCTACAACCATCTGATCTTTGACAACCCTGACAAAAACAAGAAATGGGGAAAGGATTCCCTATTTAATAAATGGTGCTGGGAAAACTGGCTAGCCATATGTAGAAAGCTGAAACTGGATCCCTTCCTTACACCTTATAAAAAATCAATTCAAGATGGATTAAAGACTTAAATGTTAGACCTAAAACCATAAAAACCCTAGAAGAAAACCTAGGCGATACCATTCAGGACATAGGCATGGGCAAGGACTTTATGACTAAAACACCAAAAGCAATGGCAACAAAAGCCAAAATTGACAAATGGGATCTAATTAAACTAAAGAGCTTCTGCACATCAAAAGAAACTACCATCGGAGTAAGCAGGCAACCTATAGAATGGGAGAAAATTTTTACAATCTACCCATCTGACAAAGAGCTAATATCCAGAATCTACAAAGAACTTAAACAAATTTACAAGAAAAAAATCAAACAAGCCCATCAAAAAGTGGGCAAAGGATATGAACAGACACTTCTCAAAAGAAGACATTTATGCAGCCAACAGACACATGAAAAAATAGAGGTCTTGTTTTGTAAAAGAAATAGTGGAATGTTACTTATCATGTGTGTATGTGATTATTTGTGTATGTGAATGTGGACATTTATGCATTTGGTGGTGGTGTTTGGGATGTGTATGTTTAAGGGAATATTAAAGCCTAATTGTGTGATTTAGCATTTGAAAACTCCACATTCTTCCTATAGCTGGAGGGAGTAAAAAGAGCCTATTATCATTTTCAGGCCAGATGTTTTACTTAACTGAGCCAGTCTGATCCCTGCACCTGTCTAGGACCAGCAGTTGCAGGATTAGTGTAAGAGGCCGAATTAAAAAATCTGGACAACTGTTAGCAGACAAGTGAATGGTGTGAAAATGAACAGACTTTCAGCATAAAGGATTTACTGTTTATGACATGAGGCAATGCACATCACTGGCAGGAAAACTTGAGCATGCCCTGTTACCTCTCTGTCCGTGCATGCTCATATACATTACCAAGTGACAATTACAGGGACTTTGAGTGAGTGGAGAAACAGAAGTAGGGGATTGGGGTTAAGGTTGGAGAAACAGAGACATATTATCCCATCCATCTGTGAGACAGCCGTAGAGTTACACAAAATTATATATTATTTCTGGTGGATTATAACAATTATAAAAGGAAGAAAACAGGCCCCACCACCATAAAGATTTTTTTTAACCATGCATCTTCAATGAAACAATGACTTGTTACCCAAAAGTAATTCCTTCCTAAAGGGTAATTTACTTTTCTCATAATATAGCAGATAAGCATATACTAGTTTTTATAAAAGCAAAACAAACAAACAAAAAACTTCTCAAATTGTTTATTAGGGCTAAACTAGATGTAACTGGGAAATTCTGAGCGGTCCCAACAAGTAAGAAGACTTTTTCTCCCACTTTAAGGCAATACACCCCTGTGTCCCCCAACATACACACTCATACTTGAGTGCTTTACTCATCTGGCTAAAATATAAAGTTTAATGCTATCCTTTAGAATAACTGAATTCCAGTGTGTTCTCCATTATTCAGCTTTTTATTACATATGATTTATTATACACACATATAGCTTAAAATAATATCAAAATGACTTATGCCTTGGTTAAGAAAAAGAGGAAAAACTTGTTAATGTGGACTTGCATGCTCATTATTTTCAGGAGAAATGCACTAGATTTAGTCTAGCCCTGGCACCACCTCACCGTGTGCGTGGGACCCTGGACAAGGCACCTCCTTGAGCCTTGGTTCTTCAGTCCCAGGATTCTTGTAGGGATTAAGGAAGCTAACGTATATGAAAAGCACATCCTAATTTGTGAACTGGTTTACACGTGTTAGCTCTTACTTTCAACTGATTTTATGGAAGGAAATCTGAAGCTAATTGGTGTTAGATTATCTTAAGAATGGTGATGAAATCAAATTTACTTACAATAAAAGCAACTGGATTTATACTTCAAGCACATATATGATACGGGAATTCTTTCAAATAGGCAAAAAGATATTATTCCTTTATGAACTTTAGTCATGCTAAGGTCCTTGTAATCATTCATTCAACCAGTAATACAACTGGGCACCTATATTGTGGCAGCCCCAGGGATACAGTGATAAGCCACAATGCTTGTCCTCATGGGACTGCTAAGGAAAACAGACATCAAATAGGCAATTACATAAACAAATATTTGATTATAAGTGCATTGTGCTCTGGAGGGGGAAGTGTAAGTCCCAAGAGAGAATATAAAAGGTATACCTGAGCCAACAGAGGCGTCAGCTAAGGCTTCCATGAGGAAGTGATGTTTAAATATTATAGTCTTCTATGTAACAGAAGTCAGAGTGCTTATCTTTAATTTTGAACTGTGGTTTATGTTGTTCTTTCAGATACTTGTACACTAGAGAATGTAGGGTTTACTTTTTTTAAGCTATAATGTTATATGCTATGATTTTTCAAGGCTTCTTTGGCTTGCAAGTGATATCTCAAAATTGACTTAAGCAAAAAAGGAAATATATTGGCTTACATAACTGAATAGTACTGGGATTCTACTTTTTGGTATGATTGGATATTGGGGCAAACCATATCATCAGGATTAGGACTCTCTCCATCTCTTAGTCTCTACTTTCCCAAGATAGATTTATTCATCCTTTGAATGATCTTCTCTTTCCCGGTAGTTCCAAAGGAAACTCCAAAATCGAATCCTTTTTGCTGAACCTGGGTAATATGCTCACTTCTGGAGGTGAAGGTGGGGCTTGGCAGGGGACAACCTCATACCAATCAGACTAACAGAGGAGGAAAGGCAGGTGTTCAAGGATAACCATTAAGAAAAAGGAGAAATGAATGGGGAGCAAGCAGAAGCACTTGTTCACTGCATCCTGGAACCAATCTCCTTTGTCTAGTGTCATGATTCTCAATCTTTATAGTATTTTTGTATTAGTTTTATATTGCTGTGTAAAAAGTTACCACAAATGTATCATTTTAAAACAGGTATGGCATACCATTGTTCTCAGTTCAGGGTATCAAAAGGCTAAAATAAATGTGTTGGGTGGGTTGAGTTCTCAATGGGAGGCTCAAGGTCTTCCAGTGTCCTAGGAAGAGCTTGCTTCCAAGGTCTTTGGCCAAATTCAGTTACAGTTGACCCTTAAACAACATGGGAGTTGTGGCACTGACTCCCTGCATAGTAAAAAAAAATCATATATCTCTTTTGACTCCCCTAAAACTTACCACTGATAGACTACTCTTGACTGAAAGCCTTACTGATAACATAGATAGCTGATTAATATGGAATTTGTATATTATATGTATTATATACAGTTTTCTTAAAATAAGGTAAGCTAAAGAAAAGAAAATGATATTAAGAAAATTATAAGGAAGAGAAAATATATTTACTATTAATTAAGTGAGAATGGACTGTCATAAAGGTCTTCATCCTCATCATCATCATGTTGAGTAGGCTGAAGAAGAGGAGGAAGAGGAAAGGTTGGTCTTGCTGGCTCAAGGGTGGCAGAGGCGGAAGAGGTGGGGGAAGTGAAAGGGGAGGTAGGAGAGGCAGGCATACTTGGTGTCACGTTACGGGAATACATGGTAATTTCTGTCTGAATTTTTTGCCTTATTTCTCTGAGTTTCTATGTAGTACCAATCCTTCTACAGCTTGCTTTCGTTTCAGTGCCCATATCATAGAAAGGTCCATGTCATAAAAGAAGTCAAAAGCAGTCCTGAATAATCAGAACCCTTCTGATGGATTTTCTAATGTCAATTTGCTTTCTGGCACTACTGCTTCTATGTCCTCTTCCTCATTGGCCCTGATTCAGAAGTACTCATCTCTATCAGGTTGACTTCTGTGATTTCCTTTAGTATGTTGTCTATTATCTCTTGAATTTCTCCAAGATTCATATCCTGAAACCCTTTGCCTCCCACCTTCTTTTGCCATACCCACATACTCTTCATGATTTGCTTGATTGGCTCTGTAAATCCTGTGAAGTCATGCGCAGCATCTGGACATGGTTTTCTCCAGCAGAAATTTATTGTTTCGGGCCATGTGGCTTTCACGTTTTTTTCTATAACAATGATGACATTTTTAATGGTGCAATCCTTCCAAACTTTAATGATGTTCTCTTTATCGGGGTTCTCTTCCCTAGCATTCACAATCCTTTCTATACAGAACCACGTGTGTGAGCCTTACAGGTCCTAATAACCCCCTGATCTGGAGGCTGAATTAGAGATGCTATGTCTGGGGGCAAGTAGATCACTTTGACGCTTTTGGTGTTGAACTCATGGGTTCTGAGTGGCCAGGAGCATTGTCTAATATATATATATATATAATAATAACATACATATATTATGTATACTATATATATAATAATATATATGATGTCATATATAGTCATATATAGTTATATATATAGTCATATATAGTTATCTATAGTCATATATATAGTTATATATAGTCATATATAGTTATATATAGTCATATATATAGTTATATATAGTCATATATAGTCATATATAGTCATATATATAGTCATATATAGTCATATATATATAGTCATATATATATATATATATAAAAAATTAAAGGCAGTTTTTTATTGGCAAGGTTCTTCTGACATCAGGGACAAAGCATCTACGGAACCAAACCAGGAAAATGTTTCTCATTTTCCAGCCTTCTTCTTGTACAAGCAAAAGACTTGCAGCTGATGTTTATCTTCTTTCCTCAGGCTTCGTGATAAGCAAAACCCTTATAGATAAGGGCAGTCCTGATAATAAGCCCGACTGCATTTGCAAAAAACAGTAGCATTAACCTACCCTTTCCTGCCTCAACTCCTGGTGCTTGCCTCTCTTTTTTACTAATAAATGTATTTTGTAGCATTTTTTTTTCCAGAATGGGGCCCATTAGTGTGCATTAAAAACCTGTTTAGGAAGATATTCCTTCTCAATGTTCTTCTTAATTGCATCTGAACAGTTGTCTACTGCCTCCTGGTAGGCAAAGCTGCTTCTCCTGTTATCTTAACATTTTTAAAGCCAAACCTCTTTCTAGCTTTAGATCTTTCACTTTCATTGTGCTTTAAGTTGTCACATAATGACTTGGTTTTTCCTTGAATCATATTCGAGCCTACAGGTATGCCTTTATTATTCCAATCTTGCACCCACATAAAAGCTGCATTTTCAATACAAGATTAAAAGGCATTTTGTAAAAACTACAACATTTTTGCACCTGCTGGCAAAGCCAGCAATGCCTTCCCAAATGTCCTCTCTCTCTCTGTTTTCTTTCTTTCTTTTTTTTTTTTTTTCAGTAGTTCCTATGCTGGATTCATTTATCTTGAAATGGCAGGGAACTGCAGCTGGAGACCTCAATCTGTGGTACATATCAAGCAATTCAACTTTGTTTTGTAACGTTATGACTTTTCTCTGCCTCTTGGGTACACTTCTAGCATCACTAGTTGCACTTCAGATGGGTTCCGTCGTGTTATTCAAGGTTTACAGTACTGCACTAAACACAATGAAAACTATGTAAGAACCATGAGAGGTCACTTTTTACTATTATGTGCAATTTACTGGAGAGATGAACTGCTTACAAGATGATTAGTGTCACATGGCACTTTAAGTGGATACTTGCAACACTTGAGCGTACCACAATAGCAACAGGAGGTGGCTACAAAATTATTACAGAAGTACAGCATTTACTACAGTTAATTTTATGCAGTGATGCTTTAATACTGCATCTTTATGTTTTTTACATTTCTCTCAACTGCAAATGGCATCGTATATTATCTGTAAGTATTTGTGTAAGTTTTGATAAATTTCAACTTTTTATAATAGGTTTGTGTATACTTTATGGTAGTAAATGATAAAATAGGCTGGTATCTGTATATATTTTATACAGCCATGCATACCTAACTTTTTATTTTTTTCGATATTTCAGGCTATGCAGTTCATCTGGGAATTTTTTCAAATTGTTGCAAATCTCCACAACATGTTCTAGTACAGTTATTGAAAAAAAAAATCGGATATAAATGGACCTGCACAGTTCAAGCTGTGTTATTCGAGGGTGAACTGTATTTGTGGTTGTAAGACTGAGGTTCTCGTTTGCTTGCTGGCTGTCAGCTGGGGCTGCTCTTATCTCCTAGAGGCTGCTTGCATTCCTTTCCATACCATGTGGCTCCCTCTAATAACGGAGGCTTTCTTATGCCTCAAAATATCCGACTTCTTTCTCTGACCTCTAGACCCAAATATAAAAGACAGGTACATCACCTCTTGAATGCTTTGCTGCTTAGAAATTTCTTCTACCAGATACCCTAAGTCATCTCTCTCAAGTTCAAAGTTCCACAAATCTCTAGGGCAGGGGCAAAATGCCACCAGTCTCTTTGCTAAAACATTACAAGAGTCACCTTTGCCCCAGTTACCAATAAATTCCTCATCTCCATCTGAGACGACCTCCACCTAGACCTTATTGTCCACATCGCTATCAGGCTTTCAGTCAAAGCCATTCAACAAGTCTCTAGGAAGTTCCAAACTTTCCCACATTTCCCTGTCTTCTTCTGAGCCCTCCAAACTGTTCCAATCTCTGCCTGTTATCCAGTTTCAAAGTTGCTTCCACGTTTTTGGGTATCTTTTCAGCAGCACCCCACTCTACTGGTACCAATTTACTCTATTTGTTCTTTTTCACACTGCTGATAAAGACATACCTGAGCCTGGGCAATTTACAAAAGAAAGAGGTTTATTGGACTTACAGTTCCACATGGCTGGGGAGCCCTCATAATCATGGCAGAAGGTGAAAGGCATGTTTCACATGGAGGCTGACAAGAGAAGACAGCTTGCACAGGAAAACTCCCATTGTTAAAGCCATCAGATCTCATGAGACCCACTCACTATCACCAGAACAGCATGGGAAAGACCCGCCCTCATGATTCAATCACCTCCCAACAGCTTCCTCCCATGACATGTGGGAATTGTGTGAGTTACAATTAAAGATGAGATTTGGGTGGGGGCCAAACCATATCACCTCTCCTGGGGAAGATAATCCCCTGGGTGGCCCCAAGTCAGATTACCAAATAGGTAATGATTGATGCACTGGAAAAATTGAGGAAACCCCAAATTTCCTTTGATAATATTTATTACTAGGATGTTTAAAAAAATCAAAGTAGTCATTAGGGGAAAAAAATCAGACTAAAGTGGACTTTCTTACACTTATTTAATTGCTTAGAATTATTGTAAAATTTTGATTTTACAGTATATGTGGAACACAATCTTTTTAGTGCTTTGATATCTCTAAGTGTCTTAATCTGACCCTGGTTAGCCAATGCCAGCCATGTTCTTTCCCTTGAGAATTTTTAAAGACTTAACAAAAATTGTAGTTAGTAGGATGATGGTGAGTCCTGATTTAAAAGACCACATTGAACTGAGGCCAGAGTTTGCTTCACAACAAGGTAATATTGCATGTCATCTGAAGTATGGGGAAGCAGAAACAGCCTTGAGAGGGGTCAACAGAAAACAGAACAGACAGACAGATGGACTGGAGAGGACCACACAGTGCCAGGAAGAGGGGAATGCAGACAGGAGGTGACTGGAGACATTCACACTTCCCTAAACCCAGACTGCAATGCCACAATTAAGTTCCATGAGATGCCCTTGTATCCTTCTAAAAGACTGCCTTTTTATGAGTTTCTTTCAGAGGATTTCTGTTTTGTAAAACCAAATAATTCTAAATGGTGACACCAAATAACTCCTTCCCCTATAACCAAAAAATGGCCACTCATTCCTACCCTAAAGATTTCTTAGGCAGAGAAGGTGTTGTTCTAGGTAGAAAGGAAAACACTAAGTGTATAAACATGTCATTAGCCTCAAGGAACTTACTGTTCAGTAGGATACAAAGGTCTGCACAAGCCAATTTAGTCTAGATGGTTTGTACAGAGACCTAAGAGGAGCCCAGAGAAGGAGTCACTTCTGACTGGTGTGACTGTAGAAGACTTCGAGAAGGAGGTTCCTTCTGGACAGAACCTTGAAGAATGGGTCCTCTCAGGGAAGGATCTTTCCTGCACTTCAATGTGCGACCAGCAACCCATCCTCTTCAGAGGGAATGCTCAGGCATTCAACCTCCCGCCGTGGCAGCCCTGAAGGGAGATCATGTTACTCCACCTTCCCAGGGCTTTATCTGCCTTTGACTTTGAAGCAAAAGGGAGAAAGGAACGATCAGGCCCTGGCAGGAAGGCCATGAGCATAGCAATTCATTTCTCAACCCCTACATCAAGTGCATTATCGGACAAGCATAATTTTACTTCTGAGGAAAAGAGGGTACAATAAATAAAACTGGGGTCAGAGAAAATTCAGGAGTGGGATAGAAAACAGACTGCATGGCTAGAGCAACAGGGAACCTACTTAGAAGAGATAATAGTGGGAAGGTTGGATGAGATCAGAGAATATATTTCCTTGAATGCCATACTGGCTTCTGGAAGGTGGTGGAAAGCCTCTGAGGTACTCTGAGTGGGGGATATCATAAAGTATTTGTCTGATCTCCCTGATTGCTGCCTCTGCCTAAAAAATACTTTTGTTTGTGTCTTTCTTGGACTGTTTAACACACACACTTCTCTGTTTAGTGATTATCTGTGTAGTAATCCTGGCCTATTCTGATTCGTTCCAGAGGATGAGTGAACATCTCTCAGTGTAGACTAAGTACCTGGCTCAGTGCCCGGCACATTGGTGGCTCCATGCCAACAGCAGGGAGCTTTCCTAGGTGAGTGGGCATGTGGATCACAGAAGAATTTGTACACATGGGTTACTAGTAAACCAGGTGTAGAAATGTGGGATTCTATAGCCCCATCAGATTAAGAATGACAATTACATGATGTGATGAATGCAACAGGGCTTTAATTCCGAAAGTCAATTTAATTTTTTGAAATAACTGTTCTCCATAGCTTCCTTACAAAAATGGGTACCCTTTGCACTTCTAGAATTTGGTAACATGTAAATACATAAGCTGCTTCAGTGCAAATAATAGGACAACTGACAAAACTATTTCTTAATACTGTGTTGCACAGTTAGGCATAAAAAATGTGCAAGTATAATGAAACTGATGACTTTTGTTCTAACCTTTTACATTATTCACTTTCTCTACTTTGCTTTTTAAAAATGTTATTTTTCTGTGATTACAATAATATTATATGTAGATCATTTGAAAACCCTCAAACCAATAAATCTCAATCTCACTACCCAGAGAAAACTATTTTAACATTATAGTTTATTTCTTATTTAAATTATTTTCCATTCATTTACTTGTTTATTGAATATTTTTGGAGTGTCTATCTCTATCCTGTGGCACTGTTCTAAGTACACAGAAACATCACAGAATGAAAAGGTAAAAATCCCTGCTTCTGTGGGGTTTACAGTCCAATAGGGAAAAAGCAATGGAAAAGATAAATTTATAAAATATATACGATGTTGAATCCTAAAATTCATATGGAACCAAAAAAGAGCCCACATAGCCAAAGCAAGACTAAGTGAAAACAACAAATCTGGAGGCATCATATTGCCCAACTTCAAGCAAAACTACAAGGCTATAGCTACCAAAGCAGCATGGTACTGGTATAAAAATAGGCATGTAGACAAATGGAACAGAATAGAGAACACAGAAATAAAACCAAATACTTACAGCCAACTGATCTTCAACAAAGCAAACAAAAACATAAAGTGGGGAAAAGACACCCTATTCAAAAAATGGTGCTGGGATAGTTGGCAAGCCACATTTAGAAGAATGAAACTGGATCCTAATTCTCATCATATAAAAAAATCAACTCAAGATGGATCAGAGACTTGAATCTAAGACTTGAAACCATAAAAATTCTAGAAGACAACATAGGAAAAATTTTTCTAGATCTTGGCTTAAGCGAAGACTTCATGACCAAGAACCCAGAAGCAAATGCAACAAAAGACAAAAATAACTAGATGGGACCTAATTAAACTAAAAAGCTTCTGCACAGCAAAAGAAATAATCAGCAGAGTAAACAGACAACCCATGGCATGAGAGAAAATCTTCACAAACTATGCATCTGACAAAGGACTAATATCCAAAATCTACAAGAAACTCAAACAAATCAGCAAGAAAAAGGCCAATAATCTCATTAAAAAGTGGGCAAAGGACTTGAATAGACAGTTATCAAAAGAAGATACACAAATGGCCAACAAACATGAAAAGATGCTCAACATCACTAATTGTCAGGGAAACGCAGATCAAAACCACAATGAGATACCACCTTACTCCTGCAAGAATAGCTCATATTAAATAATTTTTTAAAACATAGAAGTTGGCATGGATGTGGTGAAAAGGGAGCAGTTTTACACTGTTGATGGGAATGTAAACTAGTACAACCACTATGGAAAACAGGATGGAGATTCCTTAAAGAACTAAAAGTAAAACTACCATTTGATCTAGAAATCCCACTACTCGGTATCTACCCAGAGGAAAAGAAGTCATTATAAGGAAAATACACTTAAACATGCATGTTGACAGCAGCACAATTGGCAATTGCAAAAATATGGAACCAGCCTAAATGCCCATCAACCAAAAACTAGATAAAGAAAGTGTGGTGGCCGGGCACGGTGGCTCATGCCTGTAATCCCAGCACTTTGGGAGCCTAAGGCAGGCAGATCACGAGGTCAGGAGATCGAGACCATACTGGATAACATGGTGAAACTCCGTCTCTACTAAAAAATACAAAAAAAAAAAAAAAAAAATTAGCTGGGCGTGGTGGTGGGCACCTGTAGTCCCAGCTACTCGGGAGGCTGAAGCAGGAGAATGGCGGGAACCCAGGAGGCGGAGCTTGCAGTGAACTGAGATCAAGCCACGGGACTCCAGCCTGGGAGACAGAGCCAGACTCCATCTAAAAAAAAAAAAAAAAAGAAAAACAAAGAAAGTATAGTATATACATACCATGGAATACTACTCAGCCATAAAAAGGAATAAAATAATGGTATTCACAGCAACCTGGATGCAGTTGGAGACCATTATTCTAAGTGAAGGAACTCAGAAATGGAAAATCAAATATTGTATGTTCCCATTTACAAGTGGAAAGGTAAGCTGCGAGGACACAAAAGTATAAGAATGATATAATGGACTTTCGGGACTTGGAGGGAAGGGTGGAAGAGGTGAGGATAAAAGACTACACATTGTGTACAGTGTACACTGCTTGGGTGATGAATGCACCAAAATCTTGGAAATCACCACTGAAGAACTTATCCATGTAATCAGAAATCACCTGTTCCCCCAAAACAATTAAAATATATATATATATAATATATATATATATATATATTATATATATATATATATATATTTAAGACAGATACATATATTGAAGACCATATATTTGATAAAAATTGTACATAGAGTCACCAGGGAAGAAGTGACCAGAAAGAGTCACTGAGAAAATCATACACACACACACACACACACACACACACACACAGGACTTCATAGCAAAATTCAATTGATACTATATGTATTAGTTTCCTGCAGCTGTGGAGTAGCTTAAACAACTTTGAGAAATTTACTGTCTCACAGTTCTAGAGGTTCTAGAGGTTAGAAGCCCAAAATCAAGGTGTCTGTAAGGCTGGTTTCTTCTGAGGGCTGTTCTAGGTCTCTCCCTTAGCTCCTGGTGGTTTGCTCGCAGTCTTTGTGTTCCTTGGTGCAGAGAAGCATTGTCTTGATCTCTGCCTTCATAGGTTTCTTCCTGTGTGGGTATCTGCCTCCAGGTTCACCACCCCACTTTTTATTGAGACAGGATCTCACTCTGTTGACCAGAGTGCAGTGGCACAATCACGCCTCACTGCAGCTTGACCTCTCAAGCTCAAGTGATCCTCCCACCTCAGCCCCCTGAGTAGCTGGAACTGCAGGAGCACCCTACCATGCCTGGCTAATTTTTGTGTTTTTGTAGAGATTAGGTTTTGACATGTTGCCTAGGCTGGTCTCAAACTCCTGGGCTCAAGCCATCTACCCACCTCAGTTTCCCAAAATGCTGATATTACAGGCATGAGCCACCATGCCCACCCAGATTTCCCCTTTTTGTAAGTAAACTAGTCATATTGAATTAGTGGCCCACCCTACCCCAGTATCACATCATCTTAACCAATGACATTTACAACAACCTTATTTCCAAATAAGCTCACATTCGGAGGTTCTGAGGGTTAGGATGTCAATGTGAATTTTAGGGGACACAATTCAACCTATAATACAAATTGTATATGCAAATTATATATGCAAATTTGTATCAGGTTTTTTACATTTATTTTATATTGTGAAAATTTGCCAATACCACTAAGATTTCTTGAAAAAATGGCTATAATATAGGCATAACTTTATGTACTTCAGATATGTCACATTGACTCAATCTTTCATTCCTTAGTGTTTGACGTGAGATTGTTTCCAGTTTTTCACTCTCATATTTTTCTGTAATTTTTTATTCCATATTCTTCTCAGTGAGTGGCAGGCACAATGTCAGGTGTGGTTATCTATAAGTTGTAGACTTACACTGTGAAATTACAGTTTCTTTGTTTTTGGTTATCTGTACTTTAAACAAATACTTTTAAATGAAATATGTAATATTTTGTAATAAGAAAAATATACACCAAACTGATTTTAAAGCAAGCTTCATTGTTATCACTATTTCCTTTAGTACCAATTTATATTTAATTTTTTTTGAAAAGTAGATTTCCAATGCTTTATCCTTTTATAATCCGACTTTGGAGCTTATTAGTTTATTATAATTATTAGAGTTGTTTAGAGATCATGAGTTTATCTTCACACCAAGTTTGGGACTTGAGAAAATACAAATTGCACTGTTGGTCATGTTTAGATTTTTTTCTTTTGCTGATTTCCCCTTGTTTTGTTTTGTGTTTGCTTGCAATTATGGGTTGAGGATTTAAAGAAAACAAAATGTACACTAACTTTGAAGATTTTATTCATTTTTAAATAAATGAATTCTGTGTTTAGAAAAGAAATGTAATCCCTTTCAATCACATCTCTCTTTTGAGTCAATTCCACCCTTATTGCTGGTGTCAGGAGAAAACCTTGGAAGACAAAACACATAATTACCTAGTTAGCCTTGTCACATAACTCAGCTCTGCTTTACCTACAGAACCTCAAGGTAAAGCCTTTGTTTTTGTTACCATGGCCTAATTCAAGCTAAGAAGAAAACTGACTTTTAGAAGCAGCAGGGAAAGGATTAAGTTGCCAGGTTAGGTAACATATTCCTAAAGTCCCTGTGCTTTCAGTACAAAACAAAGGAACTCCACCAAGTCTTGGAATCATTCTATTCCTCAATGACTAGTGTCCTCTGTACAGCATTTATTTTTCACTTAAAATGTATCACTTTTCTATGGCAAATAATCTAGACCCTAGCCCCGCCCCCAAAGGCCAGACCTCTGCAAGACATATAAAGAAAATTCTGCTGTTTCTGCTGTACTTCTAAATAAAAAAATCTTACCATTTATTGTCTTTGTTCTTGGATTTATTTTATCAATACAATTTGAAATTCATGAAATTTTAATTGAGTATAATTTTCTGTCATTATTATATATTATTCTGCAAATAAGAAATAAGCTGGCATCTTTCAGTTACTTAGAGCAGAGGCCAGTAAACTCTTTTTGGAAATGACCTGAGGGCCTTACCTGTCCCTGGTGCAACTACTGGACTCTGCTGTTATAATGTGAAAACAGCCATAGATCACATTTAGACAAGTGGGCATGGGTTCCTTTATTTACAAAAATTTAAAACTTTATTTACAAAAATGTGCATCAAATCAAGAATAATAAAAATGACATTCAAAGGTACTCTACCCCAGACCCAACCTGCTTTTTCAGACTTATGGTTTCCCAGAAAAAATCTTTTTTTTTTCAAACATACAAACTTGCTTGTTGTCTACTGAATCAACTTTTCAACTGCTGCACCACTGTCTTTCCTAGAATGTCAGTTTTCTCTTAGACTGGGTAAATTCTCCTTCCTTTTAGAAGACTTCCTGGCCTCATGGTGCCCACACGTAAGGAGGCACTCACTCTAGCATCCTACAGATGCAGGGTTGGTACTTGCAGACCCTGAGAGTGAGCTCCTCTTTAAACTCTGTGCCCTAAGCACCTCCCTTGCCTCACCTTAGTGCTGGCTTTGGGCTTTGATTATCTTCTCACTTCTTTGCCATTTCCTCTTTAGAGGTAAGTAGGAGGCTTTCCTTACATGGGAGCAAGGGTGATTTCCCATTTGCTTCCAATACCTTTCCAGTGTTTTATAGCATTTGGTGGGCAGCTTTGACTGCAGGAGTAGAGTGAGCCAGTGTGTGCGACTTTGGCTTACAAAGCTTGTGAATTCCTTTTTTTGTGTCAGATACTCTCATGTTGTTAGTCTGATTCAATTTTTAAGTTACCCACATACATTTGCTTGACTCTGTTATGCCACCTAACCCATTTTTGTCAGAGTTCTCTGTAGTTTATTCCTATTGATCACATATTTCAACATTGGGAAAATAAAATATTAATAGCTAATGGTAATTTATATGATCCAGCAATCCCACTCCTAGGTAGATACCCAAAAGAAAGGAAATCAGTACGTTAAAGAGATATCTGCACTCCCATGTTTGTTGCAGCATTATTCACAATAGCCAAGATTTGGAAGCAACCTAAGTGTCTATAAACAGATGAATGGATAAAGAAAATGTGATACATCAACACAATGAGTACTATTCGGTCATAAAGAAGAATTAGATCCCATCATTTGCAACAACATGGATGGAACTGAAGGTCATTATGTTAAGTGAAATAAGATAGGCACAGAAAGAGAAACTTCACATGTTCTCACTTATTTGTGGGAAATAACCATTAAAATAATTGAACTCATGGAGATAGAGAGTAGAAGGATGGTAACCAGAGGTTAGGAAGGGTAGTGGGGGATTGGTGGGAAGGAAGTGATGGATGGTTAATGGGTACAAAAAAATAGTTAGGAAGAATGAATAAGACCTAGTATTTGCTAGCACAACAGGATGACTATAGTAAACAAAGATTTAATTGTACATTTTAAAATAAATAAAAGACTATAATTGGATTGTTTTTAACATAAAAGATAAATACTTGAGATGATGGATATACCATTTATCGTAATGTGAATATTATGCATTCCATGCCTATATCGAAATATCTCATGTGACCCATAAAGATATACACCAACTATGTACCCAAAAAATTAAAACTAAAAAAAGAAAATTAAAAAAAAGAGCAAATGGCTTTTGTGAGCTGGATACAGTGCTAAGCACTTTACTTAAATTATCTCATTGTATAAATACTTAAATACTTATAGCAACCCTCTGAAGTAGATAATAGTTATGCCACTTTACAAATAAGAAAGTGAGTTCTAGAAAACTTAGGTAACTTTCTCATGTTCAAAAAGCAATAACTGGTTAAATTGGGATTTAAACTAGGTCATATGATCTCAGTTTCTGAGTTGTTAAATAAGAGATTTTATTGGTGAATCAGGAAGATTATTTGGCTCATTAATTTTCTTTTTAGGAATCTTTTCTTCAAATAAATGCTTGGGCAAAACCCCAATATGTAAATTGAATAAAAATAGAGTGCTTTATTTTGAAATGTGTGGGGGGAGGGAGGGGGTGGCGGGGATGGAAGTTACAGTTTAGAGTCAGATCTAATTAAATCTTCTTTACCAGTTCCCTCTTGTTATAGGTTGAATTATGTACCTTTCCCCTGAAAAGATATCTTGAAGTCCTGACTCCCAGTACCTCAGAATGTGACCGTATGTGAAAGGAGGTTTACTATGGATGTAATTGAAGTGAGGTCCTACTGAAGCAGGGTGAGCCCCTAACCCAATTTGACTAGTGTCCTTATAAAGAAGTTGATGGAAAGAGAGAAAGACACATAGGGAAAACACCGTATGATGATGAAAGCAGAGACTGGAGTAGGCAGCTGCAAGCCGAGGAATGCCAAAGATTGATAGCAAATCACTGTCAATAGAAGGAGGCAAGGAAGGATTTCCCTACAGGTTTCAACAGGAGCATGGTCTTGCCAATACCTTGATTTGGGACTTTTAGCCTTCTGAACTGTGAAGAAAACAATGACAGTTGTTTTAAGCCACCCAGTTTGTGGTAGTTTGATAAGGCAGTCCTAAGTAACTAATACATCCTCTCATGGGGCCTCTGAGGGTTAACATGCAACTCAATAAGTATGAATAGCTACCGTGAGGACAGGATGTATGAGAAAGTTCTACATAAAAGTTTGATTTTAAAGGAAGGCAAGTCATAAGGAGGAAGTGTTGAAATGTCTGTTCAACAGTAGTAAACTACATAGGACTCTAACACGGATGAGTTAGATGACAGTAGGAATCAAGTAAATTTATATGGCTAACTTATATACCAGAGTTGCCATGGCAGATGATGGAAAAGGGATAAAAGGCTCAGAGAAGTGGACAGGTAAGGTGGACACACCATGTAAGTTCAGGGGAAAAAAGAGTGATCACATTCTGTGGGAGAGCACAGAGAACATGGTTTATCAAAGCAGGAGGGCTGCACAGGTGAAAAAGGAACAGGCATCATTGAGAGCTTGATGGTGCTCTACTTGGAGGACAGGGCTGATGGCAGGAGACACTGGGCTCACTAATAATAATGGAAAGATGGGATCCCAAAATAGTAGTGACAGGGAGGCAGGACTTAACTTTCAAGAGCAAGGCAGGCATAATGAGCAGCAGTCAGAATAGTAGTGGATTTGTCTGCTCAAGCTGCTGTCACAAAATATCACAGGCTGTGGGGCTTAAACAACAGAAATGTATTTCCTCACAGTTCTGGAGGCTAGAAGTCCATGATCAAGGAGCCAACAAATTCAGTGTCTGGTGAGGGCTTTCTTCCTGCTTGCAGATAGCCACCTTCTCACTGTGTCTTCACATGGCCTTTCCTCTATGTGCACATGGGGTAGGGGGTGGAGAGATCTCTGGTATCTCTTCCTTTTTAAGAGGACACTAACTATTAGGTTAGAGCCCCCACCTTTATGAAATAATTCAACTTTAGTTACTACCCAAAAGTCCTATCTTCAAATACAGTCACATTGTGGATTAAGCCTTCTACCTATGAATATGGGGGGCACAAGTCATGTCATTTAGTATATACAATAGAGCACAGCCAGGTAGCTTACAGGATATAACACATAGCTAGAGGGACCTAAATTGAAAAGAGCTACAGAGATAGTTGATAGAACACGGTGTCACTGAAGGAAAGATAGATGGGTAGCCAAACACTGATATTGTTCAATCTACAGAACCAAAAGAAAACAAGGATCAGTTCCTGGGAACATGGTACTGCATATCCAGTTGATTTTTCAACCAACCTTCAGAGGACGAAGGGGAAGTTTTCCTTTGGCCGTCACAGTTTTGGCACAGTAAGCAGGATACCAAAACTCTGCTTTTCTGGAAATTATAGTCGATAGAACCCTAGGACCTGACAAGGCAGCACAAAGGGCCACTATCACACTGATACCAACACAAGACAAAAGAGTACAAATGCTCAGTCCATCACAGCCACTGCCAACACCACCATGGACCACATGGGAACCAGAGGGTTGTCCTGCCATTGTCCATGCCACACCTACTTCCCAGAGACCTGAAGACCTGCCCACCCACCTGGCCCACCACTGCCACAGTTAGTACCCAAGCAAGCCACCTGGAGGTTCAATAATTGGCCTATCTGGATGTGCTAACAATGGTGCTGGTGCATACCACCCTGGGGTCAAAGGATAAGCATGCTTGGCCTATTGCTGTCACCACTGGGGCCTGAGGACTGGTTCATCTGACATCCCTCTCCCCAGAAAAACTTTACCACAGCCTGCACTCACAACTGCACCCTAACCTACTGAGGCAATCACAGACAACACAGACACTGTTTACAGCCAAAGAAATTATCCAAGAACTATACTACTACTACGCACACTCAGAATCAAAGCCAAAGTGCCCTACCTAACCAACACTATAAATATATCTCCAGAAGAAAGTCCTCCCCTATGAAAGCAAATCCAAAAATCTACAAAAAGCAACTACTACACCCAATGCACATATATCAATATAAGGGCACAGAAACATGAAAAAAACAAGGAAACATGACACCTCCAAAGAAACACAATAATTCTCTAGCAAAAGATTCCAATGGAAAAAATTTTTGAAATGCCAGAAAAATAATTCAAAATAATGATATTAAAGAAGCCCAATGAGATAAAAGAGAACACAGATAAGTAATATAAAGAATCAGAAAAACATATCAGGGTATAAATGAGAAATTTACCAAAGAGATACATATAAAAAAAGAATCAAATGGAAATTATTCTGAAACTGAATAATTCATTGAATGAAATAAAAAATACATAAAAGAGCTTCAACAGTAGACTAGGTCAAGTAGAAGAAAGACTCTCAGAACTTGAAGATGGCCTTTTGAAATAACCCAGTTAGACAAAAATAAAGAAAAAAGAACAATAAAAAAATTAACAAAGCTTACATGACATATGGAATACCACAATATGGTGAAATGTTTAACTATTTGGTGTTCCAGAAGGCAAAGAGAAAACCAATGAGATAGAAAACCTATATAATAAAATAATAGCCAAAAACTTCCCAGGTCTGGCAAGAGAGTTAGACATATAGCATACCGATACAGGGAACTCAGAGATCCCCAAATACATACAACCCAAAAATGTCTTCTCCATGGCACGTTATGGTTAAAATATCAAAAGTCAAAACAGATATTTTTAAAAAACAGCAAGAGAAAAGCATCTAGTCAATTATAAGGGAACCTCCATCTGACTAATAGCAAATCTCTTAGCAGAAACCTTATGGGCCAGAAGAGAATAGAACAATATATACAAAGTGCTGAAAGAAAAAAGCCCTGCTAATCTAGGATACTATAACTAAAATTATCCTTCATAAATGAAGGAGAAATAAAGTATTTCCAAGATGATCAAAAGCTGAGGGAATTTATCACTAGATGTGCCCTATAAGAAATGCAGAAGGGAGTCCTACACCTGGAAGCAAAAGGACAATATCATCATAAAAACATGAAAGAATAAGACCCACTGGTAGAACAAACACACAAATAGGTAAAAGTCCAAATGTTACCACTACAGAAAACCACCAAACCACAATGATAAACAATAAGAGAGAAAGAAAGAAACAAAGGGTATGTAAAACAATGATACCATCATAAAAACACATGAAAATATGAAACCTACTGGTAGAGTAAACAAGCAAATAAGAAAGAGAAAGAACTAAAATATTACCTCTACAGAAAACCATCAAACTAAAATGAAAAAAATAAGAGAGAAAGAAAAAACAAAGGGAACACACACAGACACAGAAAACAAGTAACAAAAGAATAGGAATAAGTCCTTACATTTCAATAACCTTGAACATAAATAGATTGAACTTTCCACTCGAAAGGTATAGACTGGCTGAATGGATTTTAAAAAAAGCACAACCCAACTCTATGCTGCCTACAAGAAACTTTACCTCACCTGTAAAGACGCACATAGATGGCAAGAAAAGAAATGGAAAAAAAATATTCCATGTAAACAGAAACAAAAAGCAAACAGGAATAGCTGTACTTATGTAAGATAAAACAAGAGAATATAATAATAATATCTACATATATAGAATAAAGAATTGGGTACACATATATACATATATATGTATGTAGGGTGAGATGATAAATAGATGAAAGAAAGAAAGAAAGAGAAAGAAAGAGAGAAAGAAAAAGAAAGATTTGGGTGTCTTTGTGTGTTTATACACTGAACATCAGATCACCCAGATGTATAAAACAAATATTATCAGATTTAAAGGGAGAGATAACTCTAATACAATAGATGGACCTATAACGTATACAGGACATTTCATTTAACAACTGCAGAATACACATTCTTTTTACCAGCACATGGTACATTCTTCAGGGTAGACCATATGTTAGGCCACAAAACAAGTCTCAATCAGTTTTTAAAAATCCAAATTATATCAAGTATCTTCTCAAACCACAGTGGAATGAAACTAGAAATCAATATTAAAAAGAACTTTGGAAACTATACAAATACATGAAAATTTTACAATATGTTCCGGAATGACCATTAGGTAAATTAAATAATTAGGAAGCAAGTAAAAAAATTCTTAAAACAAATGAAATACAGCACCCGGTATTCCCAGGTGGTCTTTCAGCCAAGTTCTAACCAGGCCCAACCCTGCTTAGCTTCTGAGATCAGAAGAAATCGGCTGCATTTAGGGTGGTATGGTTGATAAGAGCTATTTATGACAAACCCATAGCCAATATCATACTGAATGGGCAAAAGCTGGAAGCATTCCTTTGAAAACTGGCACAAGACAAGGATGCCCTCTCTCACCACTTCTATTCAACATAGTATTGGAAGTTCTGGCCAGGGCAATCAGGCAAAAGAAAGAAATAAACGGTATTCAAATAGGAAAAGAGAAGTTCAATTGTCTCTGTTTGCAGATGACATGATTGTATATTTAGAAAACCCCATCATCTCAGCCCAAAATCTCCTTAAGCTGATAAGAAACCTCAGCAAAGTCTCAGGATACCAAATCAATGTGCAAAAATCACAAGCATTCCTATACACCAATCACAGACAAACAGAGAGCCTAATCATGAGTGAACTCCCATTCACAATTGCTACTAAGAGAATAAAATAACTAGAAATACAACTTACAAGGGATGTGAAGAACCTCTTTGAGGCGAACTACAAACCACTGCTCAAGAAAATAAGAGAGGACACAAACAAATGGAAAAACATTCCATGCTCATGGATAGGAAGAATCAATATCATGAAAATGGCCATACTGCCCAAAGTAATTTATAGATTCAATGCAATCCCCATCAAGCTACCATTGACTTTCTTCACTGAATTGGAAAAAAACTACTTTAATCTTCATGTGGAACCAGAAAAGAGCCCACATAGCCAAAACAATTCTAAGCAAAAAGAACAAAGCTGGAGGCATCACGCCACCTGACTTCAAACTAGACTACAAGGCTACAGCAACCAAAACAGCATGGTAGTGGTACCAAAACAGATATATAGACCAATGGAACAGAACAGAGGCCTCAGAGATAACACCACACATCTACAACCATCTGATCTTTGACAAACCTGACACAAAGAAGCAATGGGGAAAGGATTCCCTATTGAATAAATGGTGTTGGGAAAACTGGCTAGCCACATGCAGAAAACTGAAACTGGACCCCTTCCTTACACCTTATACAAAAATTAACTCAAGAAGGATTACAGACTTAAATGTAAGACCTAAAACCATAAAAACCCCAGAAGAAAACCTAGGCAATACCATTCAGGACATAGGCATGGGCAAAGACTTCATGACTAAAGCACTAAAAGCAATTGCAACAAAAGCCAAAATTGACAAATGGGAACTAATTAAAGAGCTTCTGCACAGCAAAAGAAACTCTCATCAGAGTGAACAGGCAACCTGCAGAATGGGAGAAAATTTTTGCAATCTATCCATCTGACAAAAGGCTAATATCCAGAATCTACAAGGAACATAAACAAATTTACAAGAAAAAAACAAACAACACCATCAAAAAGTGGGGAAAGGATATGAACAGACATTTCTCAAAAGAAGACATTTATGCAGGCAACAAACATATGAAAAATGCTCATCATCACTGTCATTAGAGAAATGTAAATCAAAACCACAATGAGATACCATCTCATGCCAGTTAGAATGGCCATCATTAAAATGTCAGGAAACAACAGATGCTGGAGAGGATGTGGAGAAATAGGAATGCCTTTACACTGTTGGAGGGAGTCCAAATTAGTTCGACCATTGTGGAAGACAATGTGGTGATTCCTCAAGGATCTACAGCTAGAAATACCATTTGACCCAGCAATCCCATTACTGGGTATATACCTAAAGGATTATAAATCATTCTACTATAAAGACACATGCACACATATGTTTTTTGCAGCACTATTCACAATAGCAAAGACTTGGAACCAACCCAAATGCCCACCAATGATAGATTGGATAAAGAAAATGTGGCATGTATGCACCATGGAATACTATGCAGCCATAAAAAAGGATGAGTTCATGTCCTTTGCAGGGACATGGATGAAGCTGGAAACCATTATTCTCAGCAAACTACCACAAGAACAGAAAACCAAACTCCACAACCAAACACCGCATGATCTCACTCGTAAGTGGGACTTGAACAGTGAGAACACATGGACACAGGGAGGGGAACATCACACACTGGGGCCTGTTGTGGGGTGGGGGGTTAGGGGAAGGATAGCATTAAGGGAAATACCTAATGTAGGTGACAGATTGATGGGTGCAGCAAACCACTGTGGTATGTGTATACCTATGTAACAAACCTGCAGGTTCTGCACATGTACCCAGACCTTAAGGCATAATAATAATTAAAAAAAAAACAAAATGAAAACACTACATACCAAAAACTATAAGATTCAGCAAAAGCTGCGAAAAGAGGAAAGTTTATAGCAATGAAACCCACATCAAAAAGTAGAAAGGTTTCAAATAAATAATCTAACATTGCATTTAAAAGAAACTGGAAAAGCAAAAACAAACCAAGTTGAAATTAGTAAAGAAAAAAATGCAGGTCCGAGTAGAACTAAACAGAATGGAAACTAAGAGAAAAATACAATGGATAAGTGAAATGAAAATTTGGTGTGTTGAAAAGTTGAAGAAAATCAATAAATCACTTGCTAGACTAACCAAGAAAAAGGAGAGAAGATTCAAGTAAACAAAATTAGAAATGAACAAGGAGACATTACAACTGACATCACGGAAATACAAAAGATCATCAGAGAACACTATAAACAATTATAGAATAACAAGCTGGAAAATCTAGAGGAAATAAATAAATTCCTCGGCACATAAGATATACCAAGATTGAATTAGGAAGAAATAGGAAGCCTGAACAGATCAACAATGAGTAAAGAGGTTGAGTCAGCAACAAAAATCTTCCAACAAGGAAAAGTCCAGGACCAGATGGCTTCACTGCCAAATTCGACTAAACTTTCAAAAAAGAATAAACACCAATTCTCCTTAAACTATCCCAAATAATCACAGAGGAGCAGAGGAGGAAGTTCTCTCTAACTCATTCTACCAGGCCAGCATTACCCTGATACCAAAACCAGATAAGGACACAATAAAAAAAAGAAAACTACAGGCCAATATCTCTAATTAACATAGATGCAAAAATTCTCAACAGAATGCTAACAAACAAAATCCAATGGCACATCAAAAAGATAATATGCCATGATTATGCAGGATTTATCCCAGACATTCAAGGAGATTCAACATACAAAAATCAATAAATGTAACATATCATATCAATATAATAAAAGAAAAACCCATTTGATCATCCAATAGACACAGAAAAAGTATTTGATAAAAAATGACATTATGATAAAAGCTCTCATCAAACTAGGCATAGAAGCAATATACCTCAACATAAGAAAAATCATAGATGAAAAACCAACAGCCAACATCCTACTCAATGGGGAAAAGCTGAAAGCCTTTTCTCTAAGAACTGGAACAAGACAAGGATGCCCATTTTCATCACTCCTATTCAACAAAGAACTAGAACTTCTAGCCGGAGCAGTTGGGCAAAAGAAAAAAATAAAATGTACCCTAACTGGAAAAGAGAAAGTCAAATTGTCCATCTTTGCTGATAATATGATCATATATCTAGAAAACCTACAGATTCCACTAAAAAAAAACTCTTAAACCTGATAAATTAATTCAGTAAAATTTCAGGATACAATATCAACATACAAAAATAGAAATGTTCCTATACACTAATAATGAACTATTTGAAAAAGAAATCAAGGAGGCAATCTGGTTTACAATAGCTACAGAAAAAAAACCCTAAGAATAAATTTAACTAAGGAGGTGAAATTCCCCTGTAAAGAACATTATAAAACACTGATGAAAGAACTTGAAGAATGCCAAAACAAACAAACAGATATCGCATACTTATGATCAGAAGAATTTATATTGTTTAAATGAACATACTACACAAAGCAATCTACAGATTCAATGCAATCCCTATGAAAGTACCAGTGCCATTTTTCACAGAAGTGGAAAAAGCAATCCCAAAATTCTTATGGAACAAAAAAGAGCCAGAATAGACAATGCAATTCTGAACAAAGAATAAAAGATAGAGGCATTACACTACTTGACTTCAAAATATATTACAAGGCTATAGTAACCAAAACAACATGTTATTGGTATAAAAACAGACATATAGACCAATGGCACAGAATAGAGAACCCAGAAATAAATCTACATTGTTAAAGCCAGCTAATTTTTGACAAAGGTATCAAGAATATGCATTGGGGAAAGGATACCTTCTTCAACAGATAGTACTGGGAAAACTGGATATCCATATGCAGAAGAATGAAGCTGGACCCCTATCTCTAACCATATACAAAATCAACTCAAGATGGATTAAAGACTTAAATATAAGACCCTAAACTATAAAACTACTAGAAGAAAACATAGGAAAAATACCTTGGAACATTGGTGTGGGCAAAGATTATATGGTTAAAACCTTAGAAACACAGACAACAAAAAAAAACTAGACAAACGGAACTATATTAAACTAAAAACCTTCTGTATAGCAAAAGAAACAATCAACAGAGTGAAGAGATAACCTGTTAAATAGGAGAAAATATTTGCAAAACTATGCATGTGATAGGAGACTAATATCCAGAGTATACAAGGAACTCAAACAACTCAGCAGTAAGAAAAAAATAATAATCCTATTAAAAACTAGACAAAGAACATAAATAGGCATTTTTCAAAAGAAGACATACAAATGGTCAACAGGTATATGAAAAAGAACTAAATCATGGCATTTGCAGCAACATAGATGGTACTGGAAGTCATTATGTTAAGCATAATAAACCAGGCACAACATCACTAATGTTTAACTCACCAATCATCAAAAAAATGCAAATCAAAACGACAAAGAGATATCATTTAATCAGTTAGAATGACTATTATTAAAAAGACAAAAAAAAACAGATTATGGCAAAAATGCAGAGAAAAGGGAAGACTTATATACTATTGATTGGAATGTACATTAATCCAGGTCCTATGGAAAACAGAATAAAGATTTCTCTAAAAACTAAAAGTAAAACTACATATGATTCAGCATTCCTACTACTGGGTATTTATCCAAGGGGAATACAGTCAGTATATCAAAGAGATACCCACACTTGCATGTTTATTACAGCATATTCACAATAGCAAGGATATGGAACAACCTAAGTGTCCATCAATGAGTAAATGAAAAAGAAAATATGGTATGTATACAAAATGGAATACTATTCAGCCATAAAAAAGAATACAATCACATCATTTGTAGTAACATGGAGGGTACAAGAGATTGTTATGTTAAATGTAATAAGCCAGACACAGAAAGATAAATATTGCATGTTCGCACTCATATGTGGAAGCTTAAAATGTGGATATCATAAAAGTAGAGAGTAGAATGATAGACATCAGAGGCTGGGAAGGATGTGTGGGTGGGTAGGGGGTGGAGTGAATGAAGAGAAGTTGGTTAATGGGTGCAAACATACAATTAGAAGGAATAAGTTATAATGTTCAGTAGCAGAGTAGGGTGACAGTGGTCAACAACAATGTATTGTATATTTCAAAATAGCTAGAAGAGAAGATTTTCAATGTTCCCCACACATAGAAATGATACATACTCAAAGGGATGAATACTCTGAATACCCTGACCCCTTACCTAATCATTACACGTCCATACATGGAACAAAATAGCACGTGTACTCCATGAATATGTACAAAAATTAGGTATCAATTTTTAAAAGTACAATAAAAAAAGAAATCAAGGATCAGGAAACTAAGGGCCGCTACCCAAATTAAAAGTAACAATTCATTGCTCTGAACTTTAGTCATTTTTCAGATCCAGAACCCATTGATTAAAAGAGAGGTAAGACCAATGTCAAGAAGTGTATTTCCTAGATTAGCTTCTAACATTTTCATAGTTTGAACTCTTACATTTAAATCTTTAATTTATCTTGGGTTAATTTTTGTATATGGTGAAAGGTAGGTGTCCAATTTTATTCTTCTGCATAGGGCTAGCCAGTTATCCCAGCACCATTTATTAAATAAGGAGTTATTTCCTTTTTGCTTGTTTTTGTTGGCCTTGGCAAAGAATTTTTAGCTAAGTCCCCAAAAGCAATTGCAACACCAAAAAAAATATGTTATGGACCTATGTGATGTAATTAATTAAACTGAAGAGCTTTTGCACAGCAAAAGAAACTATTAAGAGAATAAACAGACAATTTACAGAATGGGAGAAAATATTACAAACAATTCATTCAGCAAAGGTATAATATCCAGAATATATAAGGAACTTAAACAAATCAACAAGCAAAAACCAAATAACCTCATTATAATATGAGCAAATGACATGAACGGACACTTCTCAAAAGACGACATATAATCAGCCAACAAACATATGAAAACATGCTCAACATCACTAATCATCAGAGAAATGCAAATCGAAACCACAATGAGATACCATCTCACATCAGTGAGAATGGCTATCATTAACAAGTCAAAAATAACAGATGTTAATGAGGCTGTGGAGAAAAGGGAATGCTTATAACACTGTTGGTGGGAATGTAAATTAGTTCAGCCACCATGGAAAGAAGTTTAGAGATTCTCAAATAACTTGAAACAGAGCTACCATTCAACCCAGCAATACCATTACTGGGTGTATTCTCAAAGGAAAATAAATTGTTCTAGCAAAAAGACATGCACTTGTATGTTAATCACAGCACTATTCACAATAGTAAAGACATGGAATCCACCTACATGCTCATCAATGGTGGACTGGATAAGAAAATGTGATACATATACACTATGGAATACTATGCAGCCATAAAAAAGAATGAAATGTCCTTTGCAGGAACATGGATGCAGCTGGAGGCCATTATCCTAAGTGAATTAATGCAGGAACAGAAAATTAAATACTGTATGTTCTCATTTATAAGTGGGAGCTAAACTTTGAATACACATGGACATAAATATGGGAGCAGCAGACACTGGGGACTACAAGAGAAGGGAGGAAGGGAAGGGAGTGTAGGTCGAAAAACTACCATTTGGGTACTATGCTCACTACTTGAGTCATTGGATCTGTACCCCAAACCTTAGCATCACACAATATATTCATGTAACAAACTTGCACATGTATTCCCTGAATCTAAAATAAAAGTTGTATTATGAATAAAATAGACATTATAATCACTGAAAAAATACAAAATAAAAGAGAGACAAAGAGATCCTGGAGGATGACTATGACAAACTCACAGTTAGCAGCTCCAATTGCACCTGTTGTGTGAGATGTAGTGTCTTTGCTAAAGAAAATTAATGTGACTTCAGAATATGAAATGCAGTCATGGATGTGCTTTAAAAGTATTCTTTTCTATCCATATAAAAAATGAGGATTAGAAACATTTTGCATTCATTAGGAATGCAAAAAAGTAGATGCTTACAAGCTTGCCCAAGAACTTTGTTAATTCTCTTTCTCTCTGTCGTAATGTAGTCCAAAGACACCTGGACCATCGACTATATCAATGATATCATGGCTAATTTGACCAAATACACAAGAAGTGGCAAGTTCTTTGGACTCCTTAGTAAGACATATGTACTCCTGAGTTGGGAAATATCCTCCAAAATTTCAGAAATGTGAAACATCATCAGTGAAATTTATAGAGAGCCAGTGGTCTAGTAAAAGTTGAATATCCTTTTCAAAAGAAAGGAATTATTTCCCTCTCCCATCTCCCTCCACAAAGTAGGATGCACAATTACATATTTTTCACCTTTGGCTTTTGAAAACAATATTTCATACCTAGGAATACTGCTCTGGTCAATACACTGAATTGACATGAAAAGCTGCCAGCTTCACTTTGAGTAGGGTCTACTGCAGGAAAGCCTTCTGAAGAAAGTCAGTCCTGTTGTATAAGCAGTCCTGATAGATGGTACATGCACAGCCTGTGGCAATGGCAGACTCTGTGGTGAGAAATGACACTGCATGAAGTGTCTCTTCCAATAGAAGTCTCAATAGAAGAATTGCCATGTAGATGTTATTAACATGCTATTTACAAGCCCCAACAGAAGAATTGTCATGTAGTTGTCTAGGATCCAGAGTAGGACAATGCCTTCCACGGCAGAGGATTATATATCATTCACAAAACAGCTCCCTAGTAGAGACAAGGAGCACAACTGTCTACCATGAGCCGTGTTATGTCAGTTTCACCAAGTCATAGGGTTAAATGGGCCCTGTAGTAGTCCATCATAAGATGGGAGTGGTATATCTGGGACTGGGTAAAAGCAAGAGTGGGAAGCACAAGAAAGCAGCATGAGCAGATGATCCAGAGACCTGTGTCATCTACCAGTACCTGTTGTTCGATTCACATCTATGGCCTCATGGGTTATATACGGGGGCACCCATTATGGCTGCCTGATGGAGGGGGCAAATGGGTTGATTAAGAGAAGGGTTGGCATGATATATGGGCTAAGCCAAAAATGTCTCACTCAAGGGTAGCTTTGATATGAAGTAGAGAGAATAAGCCCTCTCAATGGGCAAGTCTTTCCCCTTTGTGTGGTTAGAATATGTACAGGCAGTGGGCCGGGTGCGGTGGCTCACTCCTGTAATCCCAGCACTTTGGGAAGCCAAGGCGGGTGGATCACGAGGTCAGGAGATCGAGACCATCCTGGCTAACATGGTGAAACCCCATCTCTACTAAAAATACAAAAAAAAGAAAAAATTAGCCAGGCATGGTGGTAGGCACCTGTAGTCCCAGCTACTCAGGAGGCTGAGGCAGGAGAATGGCGTGAACCTGGGAGGCGGAGCTTGCAGTGAGCCGAGATCGCGCCACTGCACTCCAGCCTGGGCAACTGAGCAAGACTCCATCTCAAAAAAAAAAAAAAAAAAAAAAAGAATATGTACAGGCAGTAGTAAATAGCATGGCTTGCTTGTCAAGGGTCTAAAAGGGGACTAGGACAAGGTCTGTGGTAGAGGCATTCATGTGGACATTTGTGAGTGGGCATAATGTGTAAAGATCTTTGTATTGCATGTTAATGCCCACCAGAGAGCATCTGCCTAGAAGTGACACTAAACAATTAAGTAAACACAATGACTTTTTCTGTTGACATCAGTCAGCCTCTGTCATCAGGCATGCCAGTGCTGGTGCAATGAGCTCATGATTAGAATAGCCATGGTGGCAGGGGCAGAAGCCATGCATGGGCTCAACAGCATAGTCTGCCACTTATCAAGGCTAATCTAACTACTGCTACAGCCTAATATTCAACCACAAATACCAACAATGAGCTCCTGAATGTGGCACCATCCCTCAAGAACACCACCCATTCACTTTGTGACAAGTTGATTACTTTGGACTTTTCCTTCCTAGAAGAGGCAGTAATTCATTTTCATTGGAACAGATAGCCATTCCAGGTAGGTTTTCCTTTTCTACCTTAAAGACCTCAGCCAGTGTAGGACTGAATGTTTATGTCTTCTCAATATTTGTATGTTGAAATCCTAACTCATAATGTGATAGGTTTTAGGACGTGAGGTTTTGGGGAGGTAATTAGGTCATTAGAGTGGAGCTCTCATGAATGAGTTTAGTGCTCTCATAAGAAGAGACACAAGATCTTACCTTCTATCTCTGCTCTCTGCCTTATGAGGATACAAGAAGACAGGCCCTCTGTAAACCAGGAAGTGGCCCCTCACTAGACCCAGGATCAGCAAGCACCTTGATCTTGGACTTCCCAGTCCCTACATTATGAGAAATGAATGTTGGTTGTTCAAGCCACCCAGTCTATGATAATCTGTTATAGCAGCCAAAACTAAGCCAGCACCACTATCTGATGGCTTACAGAGTGTTTGATCCATCAACACTGGAGCCCCTTTAATAGTATATCACAGTAAAGGATATGAGGCCATGGACCCGTGACCATAGGATTCACTGATCTTGTGACATATCACACCACCCAGTTTGAAAGAATGATGGGACAGCCTATTGATGTCACAGCTGAGGCACCAGCTCAAGGATGATACCTTGTGAGGATAGACCACCATTCTTCACATGACATAGTTTACATGCTATGATTCCGTGCAGCACACAAGCAACAGCAGTAATACAATGCCGTGACTTCAATAAGTAGAATATATGGTTCTGGAGACCAAGAGATGGAAGTAGAAGGATCCTGCTTACCATCGTTCCCAGTAATTATCTTTGGGAATTTGTGCTTCCTGTCCCCACAACTCTAGGCTGTGTGGATTTAAGATCCTGGTTTACAAAGGGGGAAAGTATCCAACAGAGGACTCGGCAAAAATCCCATTGAACTTTAAGCTGTGGCTGCTATCCAGGCATTTCGGGTTCCTCATGCCAAGGACCAGCAGACAAGAAGAGGAGTCACTATTCTGGCAGGCATAATTTACCCTGATAATTTACCAGGAGGAGGTAGGGCTGCTGCACAGTGGTGGCAGGGAAGAATGTATTTGACATCCCAGTGATCCACATGGATGTCCTTGGGTACTCTTTTGCCTAATTTTGACAATAAATGGACAAATGTAGCAACCTCAGCCTGAGTATGGACGCCAGGGATGCAGACACCTGAAGTCTGAGAGTCTGGTTCATCTTTCCAGGAAAACCAACAAGTTCAAGATGTACTACTGATGATAAGGAGAATCTAGAATGGATATTAGAAGAAGGAAATGATGAGTATCATTTGTGGCCCTGGGAAAAGCTGCAGCAGAATGGGCTACAGCTGGCCCACTAATCTTCTTGTAAGTTTCCTCCAAGAAAAGAGCCCTCCAGAATCTTGAAGGAGCTGCTGTCAGGACTTATGGGAAGAAATGGGACTACATGGTTCAAGTTTTCACTCAGGAGTGAAGAACCTATCCCCTAGCTTTCAAGAGTGCTGCCAGCTGGTGGCCCTCAGCCCTCTCCCATCAGCATTCCCTGGAAACTGCCCTTGGCTGAAAAGAGCCATTTGGTTCAGATTACATCACCTTCCTGGGCCCTGCATCTAGTAATTGCTTGATCCAAGAGGGGAAAGTAATGCAAAAACCTGACCCTTCTACCCCAACTTGAGTTATCTCTGAAGGGTTACCCAAGGTCCAGAGTTCTCTGCAGGGCTAAGCAAGACCTGTGTTGTGGCTATATTCCAGCCACCTTTTCCCTTTGTCCAATCCTGCTTCCTTTTCCCTCACTGATATTAATTCTGAAAGCACACTCTAATAAAATGCTAATTTCTATCTCATAGCCTACTTCTCAAGTAATCTGACCTATAACTATGTTACTTTTTCATATTATTTCAAATAGACATGATGACTGCATTCATTAGAAAATATTTATTGAGTGCCTAATACATTTCAGTTCTGTTCTAGGTCCATACAGTCTCAGCTCTCATGGAGCTTACATTTTAGAGGCAGGAGTTAAATAACAAGGAAATCAACTAATAATGGATAAAAGAACTATCAAATAGTTATTAGTCTTATGCAGAGAATTAAAATGGTGTGATGTTGTGATGTGACAGAAAGTGATTGAATGGCTACTTTTTTTTTTTTTTTAGGCAGAGTCTTGCTCTGTCACCCAGGCTGGAGTGCAGTGGCATGATCTCAGCTCACGCAATCTACACCTCCCAGGTTCAAGCAATTCTCCTGCCTCAGCCTCCTGAGTAGCTGGGATTACAGGCGCCCACCACCATGCCCAGCTAATTTTTGTATTTTTAGTAGAGATGGGGTTTCACCATGTTGGTCAGGCTGGTCTCAAACTTCTGACCTCATGATCTGCCCGCCTCAGCCTCCTTAAAGGTTTCTCTAAGGAGGTGCCATGAAAGCTGGGACCTGAATGTTAAGGAATCAGTGATGTGAAGATAAGGGCAAGAACATTCCAGGCAAAGAGAATGGCTCATATAAAGACTTAAGATTGAAATAGGTTTAGTGTGTTCAAGGAGAGAAGGATGGTGATGTGGCTAGACCTTGATGGGAGTAGCAAAGAGTACAGCATAAGATAATCAGAGGTACCTGAAAGCAAGGTGGGTCACCAGCAGCTCTACTGGAGCCATCTGTGAAGATTTGGTCAGAGTTCTCACTCTTATCACATCTACTCAAACTTGCATTGTTGTGATCCAAAAACATGGCCTCAATATGTGCTGCCAGTGTTTCCGTCAGTATACAAAAGATATAGATTTCATTAAGTTGGACTAAGTGATCTTCCTTGAATGGGTTGTCCAAGGCAACCACCTCATGAAAGAAACCATGGTAGCTCTTTGTACATAAAATAAAATAAAATAAAATAAAATAAAATAAAATAAAATAAAATAAAATAAAATAAAATAAAAATCAGAGGTAGACATGGCATAGGGAATATAGGAGGTTTTGGAGGGAGAGTTTATTTGGAGAGCAGAAAATTTAAAAATTCTAGTCAAATGTGGTAGAATTAATAGGTAGAACTGAAGGCTCATTTGCGATAGAGGTCATGGATTTAAAGCAAGCAAAAAGAGTGGCATATTTTTTTTCCAGCATTTTCCAGCATTTCCAGCATTGAATCAAGCAAGAAATAGGCAGATAGGATTACTTGTGTTGAGCCTTTTGGCACATTAGACTGATGGAAGGAGAGCATGTGAGGGAATTAAGGGTTTTGTCATGAGAGAGATAGAATCTAAGCTGGGTAAGAGAGGCATAAAGTGGTAATGCCTATTGAAAGAATGGTAGATTTAGTGGGTTGGAGATCTAAATGAGAGGAAAGGATTGCTTGAGTAGGAGTTCTAAAGCAGGTGAGATCGAAAGACAAGCTGGAGGGTACATAGAAAGGGGTATTTGAAATGGACCTTTTTGAGATTGTGCTGTCATTGGTGGTGGTAAAGTCAAAGATGTGGCTCTGGAGTAGATGGTTAGGATAGAGTGAAGGAAAAAATATCTTTGCAAGTCAGAAGGCTGAGAGAAACCAGCACACTGCAGGGATTAGCCACATGGACGTAGAAGTTACTGATAATGGAAGTCACTGAGTCAAATATTGCAATCGCATTAAAATGGGAGAGTAATTGAGTGTGACAACAAAGGGAGTAGTCAAAGTTTGGTGACATACATTTCAAATAATATATTTTAAAATATTTTCCCATATAGAATTTTTCATTGTCTATTTTTAAAAGAATTTATTTTAAAAATTTTTAGATTTACAGAAGAATTGAGAAAATAATAGAGTTCCCATATACCAGCACCAAGTTTCCCCAATCATTAACATCTTACATTAGTATGGTACATTTGTTACAATTAATGAATCAATGTTGGTGCATTATTGTCAACTAAACTCCATACTCTATACGGATTTACTTAGTATTTACCTAATGTCCTTTTTCTGTTCAGGAGGATCCCATCCAAGATACGACATTATGTTTAGTAGCCACGTTTCCATAGCTTATTCTTGGCTGGGATATTTTCTCAGACTTATTGTTTTTGATGACCTTTACAGTTGTGAGGAATACTCTCCAGGTGTCATATAGGATACATCTCTATTGAAATTTTTCTAATATTTTTTCTTAATAAAACTAGGGTATGGGGGGAAGATCACAGACACAAAGTACCATTATCATTTCATCATATCAAGGGCATATACTATCAACATGAATAATCCCTGATGATGTTATTTGATTACTTGGCTAAAGTGTAGTGTTTGCAATATTTCTCCACTGTAAAATTGCTCCTCTTCCATATAGTACTCTGACTTCCTTCCTAAGAGGGGAAAAGGAGCAATTTTACCTTGGAGAAATATTGAGCCCCACACTTGAAGAGTGTTGAGCCCACGCTTAAAGAGTAAAGCCTTATGCATCCCCTCCTTGGGCTTGGAATATCTGCATAAATTACTTGGAATTCTCCACCCCATGAAAGAAACCATGCTAGTTCTTTGTATATAAAATTAAAAAATTTAAAAAAGATAATCAGAGGTAGACATGTAGAGAATATAGAAGGTTTGAGAGGGAGAGTTTATTTGTAGAGTTCTGTCTCTTTTTCCTGATTTATTAATTTATTCAATCATTTATGTCTATCAGTATGGGATCACAAATAGCTTACTATAGATACAGCTAGTTACATATAGAAATATTTATAGGTATGTAAGTAAGTTCCTTTGCCTTAAGTCTTAGAAATTCTACTCATTTCAAAGTTACTTAGATCATACCTTTCCACCCACCCCTTTCAGTGAGGTTCCACACACTTGTAATAGATAGATTCTCTTGTCATTGTCTGCATTTTTTTCCCAGGATCCCCTCACATCCTAAATGCTTTTTTGAAAATTTGCATACATTAAAGCTTACTCCTTTTTAAGTAAAGTTTATGGGTTTTAACAAATGTATGATGTCATGTGTCCATAATTACAGGATAGTTTCACTGTCCTAAAATTCCTTGTTTTTCACCTGTTCAACACTTCCCCTATCCTCTAACCCCAGCAACTATTGATCTTGTTACTGGCTTTACAATTTCTCCTTTTTTAGAATGTAATATAATTGGAATTATACAGCATATAGCATTTTTAAGACTGGCTTGTTTTACTTAGTAATATACATGTAAGTTTCCTTCTTATAAGAAGAGGAAAATGCCACTTGAAGATACAGACATACGGGGGAAGAAGGCGACATCAGTTTTAGAAAAAGAAGACTTCAGAACAAGGAAAATAATCAGAGATCAATTATCAGAGCCAATTCCCCAAGAAGTCATAACAATCTTTATCATGTACTCATCTACCAATAGAATATTAAAATATGAGGTAAAAATGATAAAATTGCAAGACAAATACACTATTACAGTTGGAGACTCCATTACTCCTCATTAAGTAATTGATGAGGCAGAAATTGGTAAAGATAGAGTTGACCTGAACAGTGCTGTCAACCAAGTTGATCAAATTGACATTTATAGACTACTCCATCCAGCAACAGCAGAATACACATTCTTCTCAACCCCCCATGGAATATCCACCAAGATGGCCCATAAAATACACCTTAATAAAGAAGAATATATAGTTTATGTTTTCAGATTACAATGTAATTTAACTAGTAATTAACAGAAAGATAGGTGAAAATTTTCAAAATGTTTAGAGATAACACAACACACTTCTAATAACCATAGGTGGAAGAAGTCTGAGAAACTAAAAGTATTTTAAACTAAATGAAAATATAAATACAACTTATTGAGATTTGCGGGAGCAGCACAAAAGTGGAATTTTTCTTGTCTCTTTCTCACAAGATCCAGGTGGGATTCCTGAGACTACAGCACCCTGGACTTTTTCACTCTCATGTCAGTCCACACTCAGCCTCCAGCAATTCATCAAAGTTACCATTTAAGTGTTCCTACCAATTTTGGCTCTATCAACTTGTGCTCCAGGTAAGCTGACTGTGGCTGTGATTTTCTTTATTTACCCTTCTTTCCAGATTTTGGGGTAGCAATTTGTTCTGTGATCTCAATTTTTTCAGGACTCCAGGGAAAGTAACTGAATTTTTATTTGTTCAGCTTTTTTTCTTGTTATAAGCATGGGAATGATGACTCATAGGTTCCTTTTATGTCAGAACTGACTGATATTTGTTTTTTTAATAAGTAATTTACTCACATAGTTCAAAATTCAAAAGCATGCAGTAACAGATGGTTCTCTTCTATTTCATTCTTAGTTGCCATTTTTCCCACCTGAAGTCTACTAGTGTTATTTCTTTCTGCTTATCTTTTCAGGAATGCTCTAAGCACATATACAAGTATCTGAGGTTTTTTTCCCCACACAATTGATAGCATATTCTATGCCCTATTTTGTATTTTTCTTTTAAAAATTAGTACATTACAGAGGCAATTCCATGTCAGTTCCATGACAAACATCCTTTTAAAAGTTGTGTAATATTTCATCATATTTCCCTATTGAAGGATATTTAGGTTGTGTCCAATGTTGACCATTCCAAAAAGCACTGCAAAAGTGAGTAACTCCATATATCTTTGTGTGGTGCATGAGAATATCTGATATACACATTGTGAAAAGTGGAATTGATGGGTAAATGTTATGTTCACCTTTAATTCTGACAGATATTGCTAAATTATTTTCCATACAAATTTCACCAGTTTATATTACCATCAGAAATATATGAGAACCACCCCGCCCCACATCCTTGCCATCACTTGGGGAAAAATGGCATATTATGGTTGAAATTTGCATTTCTCTTATGAATGAGATTGGGCATCCTTTAATATATTAAGCAATCACTTTTTACTCCTATCTTTTGCTCAGTTTATTAGTTTTTATCTTTTCTATTCATATAAAGTAACTCTTTAAATATTAAGAATATTGAACAGGGCTGGCAAGATGGCCAAATAGGAATAGCTCCGGTCTGTAGCTCCCAGCGAGATCAATGCAGAAGGCGGGTGATTTCTGCATTTCCAATTGAGGTACCCAGCTTATCTCATTGGGACTGGTTAGACACTGGATGCAGCCCATGGAGGGCTAGCTGAAGCAGAGTGGGGTGTCACCTCACCCAGGAAGTGCAAGGGGTCAGGGAACTCCCTTCCCTAGCCAAGGGAAGCCTTGAGTGACTGTGCCATGAGGAATGGTGCACTCCGGCCCAGATACTATGCTTTTCCCATGGTCTTAGCAACCCACAGACCAGGAGATTCTCTCGGTTGCCTATGCCACCAGGGTCCTGGGTTTCAAGCACAAAACTAGGCAGCCATTTGGGCAGACACCGACCTAGCTGCAGGAGTTTTTTTTTTTTCATATGCCAGTGATGCCTGGAACACCAATGAGACAGAAACCTTCACTCCCCTGGAAAGGGGGCTGAAGCCAGGAAGCCAAGTGATCTAGCACAGCAGATCCCACCCCCATGAAGCCCAGCAAGCTAAGATCTACTGGCTTGAAATTCTCACTGCCAGCATGGCAGTCTGAATTCAACCTGGGATGCTTGAGCTTGGAGGTGGGAGAAGCATCCACCATTACTGAGGCTTGAGTAAGCGGTTTTCCCCTTTTGTAAACAAAGCCCCCAGGAAGTTCAAACTGGGCGAAGCCCATTGCAGCTCCACAAAGCCACTGTAGCCAGATTGCCTATCTAAATTCCTCCTCTCTGGGCAGGGCATCTCTGAAAGGAAGGCAACAGCCACAGTCAGGGGCTTATAGATCAAACTCCCATCTCCCTGGGACAGAACACATGGGGCAAGGGGCAGCTATGGGCGCAGCTTCAGCAGACTTAAATGTTCCTGCCTGCCAGCTCTGAAGAGGGCAGCAAATCTCCCAGCACAGCGCTCAAGCTCTGCTAAGGGACAGACTGCCTCCTCAAGTGGGTCCTGACCCCTGTGCCACCTGACTGGGAGACAACTCCCAGCAGGGGTCGACAGACATCTCATGCAGGAGAGCTCTGGCTGGCATCTGGCAGGTGCCCCTCTGGGTCGAAGCTTCCAGAGGAAGGAACAAGCAGCAATCTTTGCTGTTCTGCAGCTTCTGCTAGTGACACTCAGGCAAACAGGGTCTAGAGTGTTACTCCAGCAAACTCCAGCAGACCTGCAGCAGAAGGGCCTGACTGTTAGAAGGAAAACTAACAGAACAGAAAGGAATAGCATCAACATCAACAAAAAGGACGTACACAAAAACCCCATCCAAATGTCAACAACATCAAAGAACAAAGGTAGATAAATCCATGAAGATGAGGAAAACCCAGCACAAAAAGGCCAAAAATTCTAAAAACCAGAATGAATGCCTCTTCTCCTCCAAAGGATCACAACTCATCACCAGCAAGGGAACAAAACTGGATGGAGAATGGGTTTGACAAATTGACAGAAGTAGGCTTCAGAAGGTGGTTAATAACAAACTCTTCCGAGCTAAAGGAGCATGTTCTGACCTAATGTAAGGAAGCTAAGAACCTTGATAAAAGGTTAGAGGAATTGCTAACTAGAATAACCAGTTTAGAGAAGAACATAAATGAGCTGATGGAGCTGAAAAACACACCATAAGAACTTCGTGAAGCATACACGAGTATCAATAGCTGAATCGATCAAGTGGAAGAAAGGATATCAGAGATTGAAGATCAACTTAACGAAATAAAGCAAGAAGACAAGATGAGAGAAAAAAGAATGAAAAGGAATGAACAAAGCCTCCAAGAAATATGGAACTATGTGAAAAGACCAAACGTACATTGATTTGTGTACCTGAAAGTGATGGGGAGAATGGAATCAAGTTGGAAAACACTCTTCAGAATATTATCCAGGAGAACTTCCACAACCTAGTAAGACAGGCCAACATTCAAATTCAGGAATTACAGAGAACACCACAAGAATACTCCTTGAGAAGAGCAACCCCAAGACACGTAATCATCAGATTCACCAAGGTTGAAATGGAGGAAAATATGTTAAGGGAAGCCAGAGAGAAAGGTCAGATTACCCACAAGGGAAGCCCATCAGACTAACAGAAGATCTCTTGGCAGAAACCCTACAAGTCAGAAGAGAGTGGGGACCAATATTCAACATTCTTAAAGAAAAGAATTTTCAACCCAGAATTTCATATCCAGCCAAACTAAGCTTCATAAGCGAAGGGAGAAATAAAATCCTTTAAAGACAGGCAAATGCTGAGAGATTTTGTCATGACCAGGCCTGCCTTACAAGAGCTCCTGAAGGAAGTACTAAACATGCAAAGGAAAAACTGGTACCAGCCATTGCAAAACCATACCAAAATGTAAAGACCATCAACACTATGAAGAAACTGCATCAACTAACAGGCAAAATAACCAGCTAGCATCATAACAACAGGATCAAATACACACGTAACAATATTAACCTTAAATGTAAATGGGCTAAATGCCCCAATTAAAAGACACAGACTGGCAAATTGGATAAAGAGTCAAGACCTATTGGTGTGCTGTATTCAGGAGAAGCACCTCATGTGCAAAGACACACATAAGCTCAAAATAAAGGAATGGAGGAATATTTACCAAGCAAATGGAAAGCAAAGGTTGCAAGGGTTGCAATCCTAGTCTTTGATGAAACAGACTTTAAACCAACAAAAATCAAAAAAGAGAAAGAAGGGCATTACATACATAATGGTAAAGGGATCAATGCAACAAGAAGAGCTAACTATCCTAAACATATATGCACCCAATACGGGAGCACCCAGATCCATAAAGCAAGTTCTTAGACATCTACAAAGAGACTTAGATTCCCACACGATGATAGTCGGAGACTTTAACACCCCACTGTCAATGTTAGACAGATCAACAAGACAGAAAATTAACAAAGATATTCAGGACTTGAACTCAGCTCTGGCCCCAGCAGACTTAATACACATCTACAGAATTCTTCACCCCAAATCAACAGAATATACATTCTTCTCAGCACCACATTGCACTTATTCTAAAGTTGATTACATAATTGGAAGTAAAACACTCCTCAGAATATGCAAAAGAATGGAAATTGTAACAGTCTCTCAGACCACAGTGCAATCAAATTAGAACTCAGGACTAAGAAATTGACTAAAAACCACACAACTGCATGGAAACTGAACAACCTGCTCCTGAATGACTACTGTATAAACAATGAAATTAAGGCAGAAATAAATAAATTATTTGAAACCAATGAGAACAAAGACACAACATACCAGAATCTGTGGGACACAGCTAAAGCAGTGTTTAGAGGGAAATTTATAGCACTAAATGCCCACAGGAGAAAGCAGAAAAGATCTAAAATCGACACCCTAACATCACAATTAAAAGAACTAGGGAAGCAAGAGCAAACAAATTCAAAAGCTAGCAGAAGACAAGAAATAACTAAGATCAGAGAGTGGAACTGAAGGAGATAGAGACACAAAAAAACCCTTAAAAAAAATCAATGAATCCAGAAGCTGTTTTTTTTTTTAAAAAGATCAACAAAATAGATAGACCACTAGCCAAACTAATAAAGAATAAAAGAGAGAAGAATCAAAGAGACACAATACAAATAAATAAATAACGGGGGCCGGGCATAGTGGCTCACACCTGTAATCTCAGCACTTTGGGAGCCCAAGGCTGGCAGATCACAAGGTCAAGAGATCGAGACCATCAGGCCAACATGGTGAAACCCCATCTTTATTAAAAATACAAAGATTAGCTGGGCATGGTGGTGCACGCCTGTAGTCCCAGCTACTCGGGAAGCTGAGGCAGGAGAATTGCTTGAACCCAGGAGGCAGAGGTTCAGTGAGCCAATATCACGCCACTGCACTCCAGCCTGGCAACAGAGCGAGACTCTGTCTCAAAAAATAAATAAATAAATAAAAAAGGGGATATCACCACTGATTCCACAGAAATGTAAACTACCATCAGAGAATACTATAAACACCTCTATGCAAATAAACTAGAAAATCTAGAAGAAATGGATAAATTCCTGGACACATACACCCACTCAAGAATAAACCAGGAAGAAGTTGAATCCCTGAACAGACCAATGACAGCTCTGAAATTGAGGCAGTAATTAATAGCCTACCAACCAAAAAAAGCCCAGGACCAGATAGATTCATAGCCAAATTCTACCAGAGGTACAAAGAGAAGCTGGTACCATTCCTTCTGAAACTATTCCAAACAATAGGAAAAGAGGGAATCCTCCCTAACTCATTTTATGAGGCCAGCATCATCCTGATACCAATACCTGGCAGAGACACACACACACAAAAAGAAAATTTCAGGCCAGTATCCCTGGTGAACATCCATGCAAAAATCCTCAATAAAATACTGCATCCCAGGGATGAAGCACCAGTTCACCATACACAAATCAATAAACGTAATCCATCATATAAACAGAACTAGTGACAAAAACCACATGATAATCTCAACAGATGCAGAAAAGGCCTTCAATAAAATTCAACACCCCTTCATGCTAAAAACTCTCAATAAACTAGGTATTGATGAAATGTATCTCAAAATAATAAGAGCTATTTATGACAAACCCACAGCCAATATCATACTGAATGGGCAAAAGCTGGAAGGATTTCCTTTGAAAACCAGCACAAGACAAAGATGCCATCTCTCACCACTCCTATTCAACATAATATTGGAAGTTCTTGCCAGGGCAATGAGGCAAGAGAAAGAAATAGAGGGTAGTCAAACAGGAAAACAGTAAGTCAAATTGTCTCTGTTTGCAGATGATATAATTGTATATCTAGAAAACCCCATCATCTCAGCCCAAAATCTTCTTAAGCTGATAAGCAACTTCAGCAAAGTCTCAGGATACAAAATCAACGTGCAAAAATCACAAGCATTCCTATACACCAGTCATAGACAAACAGAGAGCCAAATCATGAGTGAACTCCTATTCACAATTGCTACGAAGAGAATAAAATACTTAGGAATACAACTTACAAGGGATGTGAAGGACCTCTTCAAGGACAACTACAAATCACTGCTCAAAGAAATAACAGAGGATACAAACAAATGGAAAAACATTCCATGCTCATGGATAGGAAGAATCAATATAGTGAAAATGGCCATACTGCCAGAAGTAATTTATAGATTCAATGAATCCCCAACAAGCTACCACTGACTTTCTTCAAAGAATTAGAAAAAACTATTTTAAATTCCACATGGAATCAAAAAGGAGCCCATATAGCCAAGACAATCCTAAGCAAAAAGAACAAAACTGGAGGCATCACGCTACTTGACTTCAAACTATACTACAAGGCTACAGTGACCAAAACAGTACGGTACTTGTACCAAAACAGTTATATAGACCAATGGAACAGAACAGAGGCCTCAGAAATAATACCACACATCTATAGCCATCTGATCTTTGACAAACCTAACAAAAACAAGCAATAGGGAAAGGATTCCCTATTGAATAAATGGTGTTGGGAAAACTGGCTAGCCATATGCAGAAAACTGAAACTGAACCCCTTCCTTACATCTTATACAAAAATTAACTCAAGATGGATTAAAGACTTAAACGTAAGACCTAAAACCATAAAAACCCTAGAAGAAAACCTAGACAATACTGTTCAGGACATAGGCATGAGCAAAGACTTCATGACTCAAACACCAAAAGCAATTGCAACAAAAGCCAAAATTGACTAATGGGATGCAATTAAACTAAAGAGCTTCTGCACAGCAAAAGAAACTCTCATTAGAGTGAACAGGCAACCTACAGAATGGAAGAAAATTCTTGCAATCTATCCATCTGACAAAGGGCTAATATCCAGAGTCTATAAGGAATGTAAACAAATTTACAAGAAAAAAACAAACAACCCCATCAAAAAGTGGGCCAAGGATATGAACAGACACTTCTCAAAAGAAGACATTTATGCAGTCAACAAACATGTGAAAATGGAATGAGATACATTCCATTAATGTATCATCATTAAAAGTCAGGAAACAACAGATGTTGGAGAGAATGTGGAGAAATAGGAATGCTTTTACACTGTTAGTGGGACTGTAAATTAGTTAAACCATTGTGGAAGACAGTGTGGCAATTCCTTATGGATCTAGAACCAGAAATACCATTTGACCCAGCAATCCCATTACTGGATATATACCCGAAGGATTATAAATTATTCTACTATAAAGACACATGCACACATATGTTTATTGCAGCACTGTTCATAATAGCAATGACTTGGAACAATCAAAATGCCCATCAGTGATAGACTGGATAAAGAAAATGTGACACAAATACACCACGGAATACTATGCAGCCATAAAAAACGATGAGTTCATGTCCTTTGCAGGGACATTGATGAAGCTGGAAACCATCATTCTCACAAACTAACACAGGAACAGAAAACCAAACACCACATGTTCTCACTCATAGTAGGAGATGAACAAGGAGAACACATGTATACAGGGAAGGGAACATCACAAACTGGGGCCTGTCAGTGGGTGGGGGGATAGAGAAGGGATGGCATTAGGAGAAATACCTAATGTAGATGACAGGTTGATAGGTGCAGCAAACCACCATGACACATGTATACCTATGTAACAAACCTGCACGTTCTGCACATGTATCCCATAACTTAAAGTATAATAATAAAAAAAATTAACCATCCAAATTTAGTGAGTCAAAACCATAACAATCATTAGTATTGCTCTCAAATCTGGAGACTCACTGGGATGAACTAGATAGTTCCTGCCCAGGGGTTCACATGGGCTTTGGTCAGATGGTGACTGGGGTTGGAGTCATCTTAAAGGTGTCTTCATTCATATGTCTTATGCCTGGTTTAGAAAAACAGAGAAGTCACAAGTCAATGTCCACCCCATTAGTTGATTAAGACTTAGACCTTTGTGTATCCACTCAAAAGGGGTCTATTGGCTCTGCTGGATAGGGGAGTTGAGTGACATAAATAAGCTTTCCTTTGAGACTGTGAGGGGGCAAGTACCATGAAATATGCCCACTGTAGCATTAAGAGCCATGTCTGTATAGCAAAATGGTCTTGGAGGAAGGAGTAATAATAGGAATAAATGTGGTGCCTGCAAAAAAAAGAATACTTAAATGTTCATGCACCCAAGATGTATTCAGTAATTATTATCTTCCAGGTAAGTTCCAGGTGTTGGGTCTTTAGTTGACAAGGAAGGTACAAGGGAACACAGGTCAAGTCATTACTTTCATGGAGTTTACAAACAAATGAGTATGTAATATGTCAGACTCAATGAGTTCCTTGAGGGACTGAGAGCAGATGGAGAAAAGGTAAGAGGACTAAACTGCAGGCCCTCGAATATTTGCAAGTCTGGGATATGAGAAAGAGCTGGAAGAGAACAACTGAGAAGGTCCCAACTGTGAAGACAGAAAATCAAGAGGCTACATATCCTGGAAATCAAGTGAGAAGTGTTTTGAAAAGGCAGGACTGATTAACTGTGCCACTTGATTCTGATCAGAGGACTGAGAATGACCACTGGACTTTGTCAGTAGAGGTTATCAGTGACCTTCTCAAGAACTGTTTCAGAGGAGTAGTAAATAAAATGAGAAGGGAAGAGATGGAGACAGGATATAGACTATTTTGTGAATTCTGCTATAAACAGGAACAGAGAAATGGAGATGTTACTGGAAGGATATTTAGGGTGAAGGCAGATGTTTTCAAAGATGGGTGTATTAGTCTGTTTTCACACCGCTATAAAGAAATCCCTGAGACTGCATAATTTATAAAGAAAAGAGGTTTAATTGACTCACAATTCCAGAGGCTGTACAGGAAGTATGGCTGGGAGGCCTCAGGAAAGTTAGAAGCATGGTGGAAGGTGAAGGGGAAGCAAACACATCTTACCATGGTGGAGCAGGAGAGAGAGAGAAAGAAGGGGAAGATACTACACACTTTTAAACAACCAGATCTTGTGACATCTCTATCATGAGACAGCATTAGGGAGATTGTGCTAAACCATTAGAAACCATCCCCATGATCCAATCACCACTCACCAGGCCCTATCTCCAACACTCAGGATCAAAACTCAACATGAGATTTGGGTGGGGACAGAGATCCAAGTAATATCAATAGGTATTATTTAGCATAGCTGCATATTGCTCGGGATAATGTTATCAAGTGGGAAAATTTATGTAAGAGGTGAAGTTCAATTGCTGGAGTGATTTCCTTAAATAGGTGAGAGAGGATAGGCTTTGGAGAAGTGAAGCGGTTTGTCTTAGAAAGGAACATGGGCAATTTAACCATAGGAAGAGCTGAAGAGGCAAAATATATGGGCACATATGCAAATAGGTGGGCCTTTGTTGTGAGAGCTGCAGAAGTTCTCATCCGACAGCATCCCCTTTCTTATGAAATGAAACCAAAGTCATTAGCTATATGCAAGGGAAGAGCAAGTAGTTCGAAATAAGCATCCAGAGAAGGTTGTGAGGGGATGAAGAAGGGAAATGCATGCTCATGATGAGAAGCCTAAGGACCCACTTGAGATAAGTGAGCATGAATTTAAAGGGAGGCAGGTTTTTGAAAAACTGGATGATAAAGAAGCAACCAGTTATTTTTTCTATTGTTAGGACTGAGACTAAAACTAATTAGTGACAAAGAGAAATTAGTATAAGTAATTAAAATTACTTTGATAAAGAGAAGATAAGACAAACAAATATTAACTGTGCTTTTGTTATGTGCTCAGCATTGTAGCTGAAAAAAAGTTTATCTCTTACCTTAAAGAAATGCCTGGACTAACTGAAAAGACATAGATGAAAATTTAAAAAGAAGACATTTAATACTATTACTTACCAATTGCCACTAAAACAGTAAATCAAAAGCAGAATGTGCTAATTTGCTCAATGTGTAGTCTAGGCAGTGAGCATTATGGGTTCCAAGAAAAGCCAGTTTGCTATGAAGTGGAGGAAAGAGAATTCTATGGAAACTGCATAGGGCAATGATGAAATAAACCATACAGGAAAGTAGAATGAGAGCAAAATAAAGTCTATCGATTTTTAGAGGCAACTGTTAAAACTCAAATTTTGTGTTCCCACTTACTAGCATTATGGGCAAATTACCTAATATTTCTGCACCTCAGTTTCCTCATCTATAAAAAGGAGATGGTAATTCATCTCCTTTTAGTCTCATAGAGTTTGTATTTTGAAGGTAGAGCCGGCTTCTTGGTACCTGCAGGGGAAACAAACTATTCCTGTCTTTAGTAAAAAAGAATTTAACAGAAGTTCACAGGGAGGCTCACATGATTCACAAAACTGAAGAAGTAGGTGCAAGTTGGGGGTGCTCTAGCAGCTCATCAGCAGAACCATATGGTCTATGCATGTGCTGTGCACACAGCAGCTGTAAACAGCTGCCACTGCCAAATCCTACAGCTCTGATGCCATGGTTAGTCGATTCACGGAAAATGTGAAGTCCTAATATAGGAATGTCTGATTGGTCAAGTTTTAGTTTTGAGACAATTTCTTTGCTAACAGAGAATAAATAGAAGAAAACCTATCTCTTTGTCTTTCACCTTCCACAAAAAAACTTATACGGTGAGAGAATTCTTTTAAAAAGAATGTGTGGCAGGTATAAAAATCACAAATGGTCACTACCATGTTTATATAAAATACACGTTTGTCCACCGACCCATATTTTTGCTTCCACACACACAAAAATGCTCCCACTACTATAATGCCATATACTCTTCCCTGCCCAAAGTGAAATAACCCAGGTTCCATGCTTTACTGCTTCCATCTCCATGTTCAGGATTTTGGAGTGATGTCATCTTCTTTTGAATTCTGTCTCATCCTGCCCTCAGGTTCTGTGAATCATAAAATGTAAACTCAACAACCCACAATAAACTCTAAAAACAAGAGGGAAGAAATAAAGAAAAAAGAAAATAGAAATTTATGAAATTATATAAATACAAATAGATAAATGCACAGCAAGGAAGCATATAGGTGCAAACTCTAATCCTAATAAGAACACAGGTTCAAAACTATCCTTTATCTATTACCATTCATATTCTTTTTTCCTTCAGCTTAAAATTCAGCTAGATGGAGTTCCTTACCTCCTGAAGTCACCCATCATCATACCTACAGCATCTGAGCCCTTGATAGTACTAGCCACATGGGCTTGCAATCTGCCGTTAAGTTCCATTCATCTCTTTGCTGCCATCAGGAAGAAACAACCCTATTTCTTAACAATCAGGATCAATCACTCTTGGCTGCACTATAACCTCACCCTTTTATTTTATTTTATTTTTTCTAGTGCCGTGGGGAGATATAAAAAGCTAGCTGGAAGTCTCATCTGCTAGTTTAGCAGAATTATTTTTTGAGGGTCCGTTAGGGGAAACATTTATTTCTTTAAATTATCAAAGGCTGTAGATATGAAGATAGGATAGCACAAATTTTGCAGGTTTGAACATTAGGTCTAACCTTGGGAATTGTTATTCCTACTTCTATCCTTGTTTCTTGGATTGATATATTCTGACTATGACAGAAACAGAATCATACATTTTCTTAGAGCGTGAATCAGGGGAAAAGGATGCTTTTGTGTGTGGCTACCTCAGAGAATATCCTGTATCCTATAGAACACCCACAATCTCACAAGACATTATCTTCCAGGAGGCAAAATAAGTGAGGTTTCAATAGATCATTCCTCCATTTTTTTTAGGGTAGCCACTTCTGGATGACATGGCACATAAGATGAGTAAATTCCATGGACATCAGGCTATTTCTATACTTCTTTCACTGTCAATTGAAAGCTAAATTAGGTAGGACACCGTGGTGACATATAGGCATTCTAGAAGTACACAGATGGTGTCCCTAACAGAAAATAATGAGTGGGGAATATAAATCCACATCCTGAATGTAGATTTATTCCAGTGAGAACAAATTGCTACCTTCAAGAACAGTCAAGTAGGAGTAGAAAATTGGACATTAGCAGTAGATGTAGCCAATAAAAGTACCCTATTTTCCACCAGGAAGCTGAGTTGTCTCCTTTTGTCTGACATCAAAAGGGGGATGCCTGCTGTTGGCAACAGTGCACTCACTGGGTAAATATCCAGATCATCCTAAAGAAGGGTATGTCCATATTATTGGGCCCATGATCCTACTGAGCAAGCACCAAAGAGGCTAGGAAGGATACTAACTGACATGTAAGGAGAAAGTCATCCTTTCTGACATCTCATTAAAGTGGTACTCATTAAAGTGTTCCTCAATAGAGAAGGACTTTAAGGCGGAGGTTTACATGAGACAAAAATATCCTCAAATCCTGGACCTATTCCAAAAGATCAATCCATATACATTTGACCCAAACTTCCATGTTACTCTTCTTCTGGGTCCATGACCATCTGGCTAGTAGAGACCAACTCTACTAGCCCGAGTTCATAAATTGAATGCAGATTCTTATTTCTGGTCACCTTTCCTGCCTGGCAACATAGACAAGAAGATTTATTCTTGAATTTCTGCCCCAGAGATGATTTCTCTTTTTTTTTTTTTTTTGTCTTTCAACATCTTCATTTCTTTCCTCAAAGAAGGCTGTAATGTCACAGAAGTCCAGTTTGGCTGAATTGAGCATATTTTACAGAAACTTATATAAAGACATCTCTAGACATGGTTGTCCTCTTTAATTTACCGGACTTAGGAACTTCCCAAAAAGGCCAAAGTTGTAGCTTGAGGAAGGAGTGGCAATACAGCAGGAATAGGCAATTTTTGTTTAGATCCTTCACCTGCCTGGCTATTCTTGCTACTTCTACTTGATAATAAAGTGTTTCTGGGCACCTCTCACTTTAAGATGAATTTGTGTATCTGACATGCCCATAATGTGTTTTGGTTCAGTAATGAGCTAAGAAGTGTTTAATTTTTATTTTTTTATTTTTTATTTATTTATTTTTTGACATGGAGTCTCGCACTGTCGCCCAGGCTTGAGTGCAGTGGTGCTATCTCGGCTCACTGCAAGCTCCGCCTCCTGGGTTCACACTATTCTCCTGCCTCAGCCTCCTGAGTAGCTGGGACCACAGGCGCCTGCCACCACACCCACCTAAATTTGTGTGTGTGTGTGTGTGTGTGTGTGTGTGTGTGTGTGTGTGTATTTTTAGGAGAGATGGGGTTTCACCATGTTAACCAGGATGGTCTTGATCTCCTGACCTCATGATCCACCCACCTCGGCCTCCCAAAGTACTGGGATTACAGGCGTGAGCCACCGTAGAAGTGTTTCTTAAATAGAAAATTGTTTTCTTGTTGGGGGTATAGCTTTGCTCTAAAATCCTAGGTCTTGTCACTACCCCTGTACAGCATCCTGGATTGCCTTCACTAGAGCAAAATTAGATCTACTGGCTTATAAAGGCCAAGTGGCAGACCTTCTTGCACTGTCTCTGGCCAAGTTGGTTGACCCTTTTTTTGCTCTGGACTCCCTCAAATCTAGTAGTTTTCCAATCATCCAATTAATGCACCAATAAATGGTTGCACTAGTTAGTATATGATATCTCTAAAATCCAATGAATCTCATCACCTGTTGTGATTTTTTACCAACAGTAGACACAGGCAGGAAGGTACAGAAATGTGCTCTCTGTTTTGTAGCTAATATCCCAAAATGTCTCAGACCTGGATTCTGGAAACTTCACTGAAGTGGGCCCTACTGGGGCTTGTGAAGTTAATCTTCTACTTTCTAGCACAATGCTTCAAAATGGACTGTAGTGAAATAGTTTTTATTTTTATTTCCAATCTGCCATACACTGAAATATCAACTCAACTAGACAAGTCCACTCATTTCATGCTTAGCTGTTGCATCATTGTCAAATCATTATAAACTTTTCTGAACTCTTATCTGATTGCGGACCAGTGACAGAAAATTTGTAAACAGGGCCATACTTCGAGTCACTGCCCTAACACTCATATGAGTTATAAAAAAAAAATTAGATAGTTCTCTTTTCTATTTTTAAAATCCTATAGAGATAATATTAGGTTGGTGCAAAAGTAGTAATTATGGTTTTGGACCGTGAATTTTAAATTATTATAACTAGGCCCAAACATATCTTTAGTAATCAACATAGGGACCATTAAAATCAACACATTTTGGCCAATGAGCAATAAGTTTGTGTATTCCTGTAGTGTAAAAATTCATGCTTTGGGATTCGACAAACTGTTAGAAAGCATTTTCTGCATCCTGCTGTTTGTAGAAGTGTTTTTCCTGCAAAAAGTTGTCAAGATGCTTGAAGAAGTGGTAGTCGGTTGGCGAGAGGCCAGCTGAATATGACAGATGATATGGCAATTCATAGCCCAATTTGTTTGACTTTTGAAGCATTGGTTATGCGACATGCGATTGGGCATTGTCATGGAGAAGAATCGGGCCCTTTCTGTTGACCAATGTCGGCTGCAAGCATTGCAGTTTTCGGTGCATCTCATCCATTTGTTGAGTGTACTTCTCAGATGTAATGGTTTTGCTGGGATTAAGAAAGCTGTAGTGGATCAGACAGGCAGCAGACCACAAAAGAGTGATCATGACATTTTTTTTAATATCACTTCAGTAACAAGTGTTATATCTGGAAAGATGCTGGTTGACATGGTTAAAGTACCAATGGATTACATTGTGTCAGAGATGTGGACAGTTGATGTTGTCCTGACTCAGAACACGAAGATTTGCTGGTGCCCTGACCAGGTGAAAGAAACAGTGTTTGGTGTTTTCTGAATATTAGACTAGAGAAAATCCTTTATCAAATCAACAAGTATATGTTAGATGACAGGTTCTGGATTGATTTGCTCCAGGAAGGATGACATATCTGGAACTACAAACTAATCACTGAATAAGTTGTTAAGTGTACAATAAACCATTGTACATATCCATTTGTCTTCTGCACTTGGCAAACTATAGAGCAATATAGACATGTAGCTTATAATCTCTAAATTTTTGAACTGTTTGGTAGTGGTTTTTAAATCTGAAATTACCCCAGGGCTGGGCTGGCCTGGGCCATTGCTTTGAGTTGCAATTTTAGTATGGCAGGGTCACTTCGCAGTCTTCCATTTTGCATTTTGTACCATAACAGTTGGGGCACCAATGTGAGAATTCTAGAAAATTGATGGGTATTTCCATGATAACAACATACTTAGATACTAGGTAAATAACTTTGGGAAAGGATTAGATTTCTTTTGGGTTTACCATGAAGAATTAGGTTTCTATTAAGCATATTCAAGTTGAAATTTCATTTATTTTATGTCTTTTATTGATCACATTCTGACTGGTAAACTTCAGTGACATTCGGGGACTCATATTGGTTCAGAGCTGAGTCAGTATATAATATTCATGAAAGGGTATTTTTATTGCCCTATTTCCTACTACACAGTTACCTTGATAGATGGATGCAGATCCATTTCAACAAGATGAAAATGTATATTTATAGTTCTCTTGTGACAGCATTTAAGGGCCCTTCCTCAAGGATACATAGCCTCCTCTTCTTATTCAAATGGTACAGGGATTATATATTGACTCTGATTTAGGAATGGTTTTTCTTCATCAGACTAGGAAAGTTTTCTTTGTTTTATTATACACCATAAATATAACTTTACTGAGATTATCAATTCACCAACAATAAAGATTTCTTGGGGCCAATCAATTTTGATAGCTGCACTGGCTTTTCTATCTACTATGGTACCAAACTAACTTAGCTGCTGTAGGATAAGTGACACTATTTTGTTTCTGCCGTTCTGTGGCTTTCCAATCTTCGTGGTATTCAGAGAGCTCATTTCAACTTCATTGTCTCTTACCAGCATTTCCTGGCATACAACGAATAACTAAATAAAAAGCTTCTTAGAAATACTGGCTTGCCCCCTGCCAATGTGTATTTGAGACCCCAGAGAAGAACATGTATACATTCTGGTCCCTCTCAAGGGTCAAAGAGGATGGGTAAATAAGTAATGCATTATAAATTCATGCCAACATTCCTCTCTCTCAAACTCATTATATTTTCCCTCACATTTAATGAAAATCAAAATACCTAATGTAAATGATGAGTTGATGGGTGCAGCAAACCAACATGGCATATGTATACCCATGTAACAAACCTGCACATTGTGCACCTGTGCCCCAGAACTTAAAGTATAGTAATAAAAATAATTTTAAAAGGAAAAAAAAAAGAAAATCTCTGTCACATACATTTAGAATAAGCCACAGTTAAGACCAGGTAAACATAAACCATTCACGTGAGTATTAGAATTATGTCCAGATGCTAATTTGGGGTATGAGCCTTCTCTTCAAGTCTTTGGTTTAATAATAGCTTCTCTAGGGCATTCATGGATATAACTCAACTGAAAAGACTTAAAGTACAAAAGTGACATATACATGAAAACTCCTTGAGATGAGGAAATTACAATGCTTTTACATCATGCTGTAATTTGATGTCAAAGTTTAATTCAAAAAATGGAAAACCACTCTAGATATTTTAAGCAGAAAAAGAAATCATTGGAGGAGTGGAAATCATGACTTCTGGCTTGAGGTAGAGTAGAAACATCACAGTTGTGATCCAGAAGTCAGGAATGCCTGCTGCTGCCCATATACCCTTGCTCCCTCCACCCATGAAGCTGGTGACAGATAATGGAACCTAACGTCCAGCTTCTGCAAAGAGTCACATCTGTTGGCACTAAAATATATACTTACCCTATCTTCTATAACTTATGTGCATCAAATTGGTAGATTTAGAGAGATACAGTTTTTAGCTTTTAAATGTCTCTGGGTTAACTACCTTCTCCACCCTGCCTTATGTCCTGAGACTTTGACTTGTTTTAATAAGTTTCCTTCTCCAGTGACTTACAAATTGATCTGGACAAACTCAGGTGCCAGGAGTAGATAGATGACAAAGCAATGAGGTCAGAGTGTTTATTCACTCCCCTAGTCCCTCCCCATGAGGTTATTGAGAGTTGGCTGCATTATTTTTACCAAAACCTGCTGCTCCTATCTGGTAGCCCTTTCTTTCTCTGCATTCTGATAACTTCTCTATCTCTGCACATCTTCAAGTTTATAAGTGGTAATGGCACCCAGTTCTTACAAATGCTGTGGTATTGTGGTTTTCCCTGCACATGCTTTTGTCAATAATCCCTTTATTAAATTCTCAAATTACTTAGTTTGTGCCATTCGTTTCCTGCCTGAAAACCAAATGGTTTATTATCCACATTCAAGTGTAGCAAAATAGCATGTGAGGGAAACCAGTGTAAGTTTCATCAGGTGTATGGGATATGCCTGATGACACCCAGGTTAAAATTTGGATTTTTGTTTTTGCTCCTATAGCCATATGTAATGAAAAGATGAGTTTTTTGTTTTTTTTTAAGTCATGAACATGGAAATTCCTTAGATCTCACTCTGTTTCTTGAATTGAAAAGATGGTTTGCTGTTCTCCTTATTTAAGCTGTCCAGAATTGTTAGAAGCACTTACCTCAATTGCAGACCTTGAATTTCTCATGCTGTTTATAGTAAAAGGTGGCAGCTACAAGGCAGGCCCCAAAGCATTGCATTTAGTGGGCAGGCTTTTCCTGAGATAAAGTGGGGCTCAACCCATGGCAGATGTGGTTGCCATTAGACAATTATCCTTGATCTAAAATTTACACTAGATGTTAAACTCTTTCTAAGACTGCAACTTGAGAAAGACAAGGAAAAATCACAATTATATAAACAGACAAATGGGGAGACAATCTTAGAGTAAGAGTAGTATTTGGCAGGGAAAATTGTGCAATTTCTGTGGAAACTACTAGGAAATTCTTTTCCTTCCTGTCTAAGATTTCTTCCTTGAAGTTTTAAAGAAAGCACAAAACAATTTTATTAGGTTTTTTTTAGCAGACTTTTTTGAAAATTAGTAATTTATTCACTAAACTTATGGTTATATTTCCAGTCAATGTAAAATATGGATAGAGTAGGACATACAGAGAAATAGATATTCCAGAAAAATACATAAATATTTAGAATACAAGACAGTTGATGCTAAAAGTAATATGAGTAACTCAGATAATAACTTGATGAAGTCTTTATAAATTATATTATACCTGGGTTACTTTACACATTATGCTTATAGTAGATCATTATAATACATCGACAGTGTTTTAAAATCACCACACAGCTAAAATAGAAAAATAATCCTGACAAACAACATGCCTTAGGCAATAAGAAAAGAAAACGAGAAATTTTCAGTAAAGTTTTGCTAAAATGCACTGTAGCATTTGCCCACTACAGATAACCACCAATGTTTTTTTCTCTCTGGTAAATGCTGCTTTGGGAGGAGAATCAGGAGCACTACCCACTGCACTTGCTTTGAACAACTCTTCCATTACTAGAACGATAACAATATTTAAGTGGTTTCCTTTCCCTTGCATATTGCCACTAGATTTAATAGCCTTAGATCTTTCATAACATGAAAACAACTTTTAAAAGCAAAGGCTGCCTTGAACTTTGTATTTTATCAAATGGAAATTCTTATGTGTATTTCTGAACCCTCTTGGCTTGTACTTCTTGAAGGACAAAGAGGATGCAGATGCTGGTCTGTTAACTAGGTGTTTTTTGTTGTCATTGCTTTTTCTTTAAAAGCAAAACAAAACAAAACAAGTCAGTCGGTTGTGTAGTTCTCATGATGAACTTCTGGGTCTTGGCCAACCAGTTCTGAGGAAAGCCATCTCTAAATGTTGGATTGGCCTGCATAGCCTCACATTTATATCCTACTGTTTGCTTATCAGCCCCAAAACTAACAAAGAGAGCCTCTCCTGAGATTGCTGGGGCTGCTTCTCATGAAGTATGGGGAGGTTTCTCGCATCCCCCGCTAGCCTTGTGTAATCTTTCTCTCTACTAGGTTCTTTCCCTGTCAGTATTTAGGTGTGCCCAATTTTCTCCTAAGTTAAAAAACAAAACAAAAACCCTCCTTCAACCTTATATGTATCTATAACTACTCCCTGGGAAGAGTGGTGTAGTTTCTTCTTCGATTTCTCAATTCTCACTTATCTTCAACCCCTGTAACTGCTTTCCCTCTTCCCCAAACAAAAACACCAAGGTCAACAGTCACTTTCTTACACAAATCAAATGACCTCTTTACAGTCCTTATCTAGTTGAACTGATTAGCAGCATTTGAAACAGTGACTACTCTAACATTATGGAAATAATTTTTCTCATAGCTTGAATTATATCACACTAAAAAGATTTTTTTTTTTTTTTTTGCAAAGAATGTGAGCTCTGGATCCAGAATGCCTGGTTTCAAATCTCAGCTCCCCTACTTAGTAGCTATGTAACCCTAGACATGTTTCATAATTCTTTAGCTCCTCAATTTCTTCTACCATGGGGAATATGCTGGAGTTATTGTAGTGATAAAAGATATTAAATCTAAAAGCACTTAGAACAGTGCTCAACAGGCTTATAAGTTTTCAATAAATGTTAGTTATTATGATTGATTGATTCTTTCCCCCCATAAAAAGTGTTCTACCTGCAGTCTTCCTCAAATCCTGGCCAATGAGATTAAATGCTTGACAGTTTTACTTTGAAAGCCAGATTTGGTGGACTAGACCATAGAATTTACATAAAGGAGACCCATGTAGGAAGAGGAATTGAAGGAATCCCCGTCTTATCAAAGAAGGCTAAAGCAGAGTCAGAAATGAGTGAAGCCGATAGAGATATGTTCAAATTTCTGAATTGAAGAAGTGTTAGGTAAGTTAGATGGAGAGTGATTTTAATGGGCTGTGAACTTCACTTTTTGGCCACTCTGAATTCTTGGGTGGTATGGATGAGATCTAAAACTTCCTCCTGCTCCAGTGCACATCCTGCCCCAGGAGGACCTAGGGGTTAAGTTGGGAGCCCTTGGCTGGTCACGGTGCAGGCTAATGCGACCCACAGCAGAGGCTGGGGTGGACTACCCGGCCTAGGATGCCTGAGGAGGAGCTGCAAGAGACTCAACTGTTTGTAGCACCACTGAGAACCCTGAGGAATGCTGTCAGTCCAAGTGCGTTGCTAGCTCTGACAAAGCTGAGAGAGAACAGATTTTGAGTTAGATTAGCAGCTGGCTTTAGCATTGGAGGCAAATTGAGTGCTAGCAACTGGGGGAAGGGGGCAGTGTGGGGACGCTGCTTGGATCTTAGGACCTTTTTGTTCTGAAGTCATAAGTTCACCTGAGACCTGATGATTAATTTTCCTATATACCTCTTGAATCTCTCTTATTCCTGGAATAGGAACCTTCACTTATTGCCTGGATTCTTGCAATAATAATTAGTCCATCTCTTTCCAGGCTTGCCGCTTGCAACCCATTTATAACATTGTGGGCAGAGTGAGATTTCCTTTTTCTTAGGCTATCTTAAAAACATGCTATGGTCTGCATCTCTCTAAAATTCATATGTTGAAATCAAATCCCCTGTGCAAATAGTATGAAGAGGTAGGTCCTTTAGGAGATGATCAGGTCACAAGGGCAGAGTCCTCATGGATGGGATAAGTGCCTCTATAAAAGAGGCCCAAGGGAGTTTGCTTTCTCTTTCCACCACATGATGACGTACCTGTTTGTTATTTATAAGCCACCCAGTTTATGGTTTTTTGTTATAACAGCTCAAACAGACTAAGAAAAACTACAAATCTAACTATGTGACTTTTCAACTAAATCTCTTCAGAGGCATCCTTCTTTTTCCTCAGAAAGCGAGATTCCTACATATGGCTTATGGGATCCTTTAGAACTGGCTGGCTCTTCCAGCCTCACTCCTTTTCCTCTCCTTTCCTGTCGTCTACATTCTCACTCTATTGAGCTATTGTTGGTTTCTCCATTCTGCCATGCTGACCCCAGTGCCTCTGTGCATGATGTTTCCTCTTCCAAGAACACAGTTTTTGCACACTTGCTTGTGCCTTTACCTGGATAAACGTATAATTATTCTTCATGCTTTTTGCATAGACCTTTTCTGACTCCCTGAATCCTGGTTAAGGTCTCTCTCCTATGTGCTCTCATAGCATAATATATTTTCCTTACCACAGTGATCAGCATTGCCCACTACCATTTATGTTCTAGAGGAATTGTTGAGATTTTGATTAAACTCAGTGTTAACATTCTTTTATCTCACCTCAGCTTGGGACCACAGAGAAAAGGAGACAGAGGAGTCAAACTTTTCTGTCCTCAATTTTTGACCTTTAAAACTATATTGCAGAACATGGCTTACATGAGGACAAATGGGACAAACTCTCCCTTGAACTGGTTATATTCAAAATGCCATGCATACTGTTAGGCCAAGAGCAGATGATGACAGTGGGAAGTTGAATACCTAAGACAGAGAAGAAGCCAACTGTCTTCATCTGTGTGGGCTGCTAAAACAAAATACAAGTGGCCTATAGACAGCACAAATTTATTTCTCACAGTTCTGGAAGCTGGAAAGCCCAAAATCAAGGCTCCAGTAGATTTGGTGTCTGGTGAGGGTCTACTTTCTGATTCATAGATGGTGCCATCTCGCTATGTCCTCATATAGTGGATGAGGCAAGGGCTCTCTCTGGGGCCTCTTTTACAATGGCACTAATCTCATTAATGAGGGCTCTACCCTCATGACCCAGTCACTTTCCAAGGTCCCACCTCCAAATATGATCACAATGGGGATTCGATTTCAACATATGAATTTGGGGGGGACATAAACATTCAGACCGTAGCACCAACCTACATACTTCCAGGTCCCTTCTCAGAAACTCTCCAATCAAGGAAGTCATTCTTACATCTTGAGAGAGGAGAGTAAGGAGATGGGACCAGAATCCAGGAGTATTATCTTAATGGAGTGCCCATATGCCACTTGGAAACATAAAACTGGCAGAGGATGACACCAATCCCCAACCTCCTCAAAAGAAGGACTACGTCCTGTTCAATGTCATTTCTCTTCCACATAGCATAATGTATGGCATGAGTTGATAGCTACAGTGAGTATTCATTGGCCATATAAGCATCATCAATAGTTTTAGTGTAGACTTGCCTACATAGAAGATCTGGGCCAGTGACCTCTTGGGATTTCTTTTCATTGTCATGATCTTAAGGTTAACTTCTGAGTGGCTGCATTTTTCACACTGTGTTACTGTATAAAGATAACAATTTGGTGCCCTACAGTTATAATTTAGTCAGCATATTTTGTCTGGTCTGTCCAAGATTTTAGAAGATTTTGATTTAGGACATCAGAAAATTTTCAGGAACTCATGAGTTTCCATTGTATCTTTAAAAGTCAGGAGATACTGTCTTAAAATAAGCTTGCCTTCCGAAATGCCATGCACAGACCATTTGAGAGCTAAGCAGCAGTTAGTTGCTCCTTTAAATGCGGCATGCCCTTGCATGTGGGCCTCAGTGACCCGCCCCCTGCCCTTATTGTCTTATACCAAACCTCATTCTTTGTGGTTATATTTCCTGATGGCTTCTATAATGGTTTGATTGTATGACTCTTGTACAATGTTTCAGACAAATTACAAATGTGGGTCTTCCCTGGAATATTCAAAGTAATTTTTCTCTAAAATGCATTGTATATATTTTATTCTCCCATTTGAAAATTCAATGGCTGTAATTAACAAGATTCATTGCTATGGAATGAATCTTGCTAACAGGATTCATTGATATGGAATGAGTCTTTAAAATGATTAAAGTATGATTTGACTTGAAAACAATTCATTTTAAGAATCTTTAAGGTAGCTCATCTATTACATAAAGCAAGGCATATTTGATCATGGAAAAATTACTTGATTTCTTGATTACTTGATTAAAAGAATTTAGTCCTCTTGCTATCCTTGTAGCTTGTCCTTAGGTATGATTTAAGACTTCCCTTTGCCTGACAATTTGTCTGAAAGGTGGTAATGCTATTCTTCTAAAATAAGGGCAGTGATTCATATTGGCTGGGGTAAATGGTGTATTTGCAACATGCTTTGAGTTTCTCTTATCAAAGGAGCTATACAAATTCTCTGAAAGGAGTAACAGGATAATTGTGATCCTATGATCATAGAAACTCATATCACATATGAGGAAGCAAAATGAGTATTTATAATAAAAGCATTCACAAGGATTCATGTAATTCAGAACCAAGGTAAAAGGGTCTCATGTCAGAAATAGCACTAATAAAAGCCAGATCATTATAGAGGTTGTTTAATTAATTCTTTACTCTGAGGAGAAATGCCATTGACACTTCATTATTTTGATACTGAAACCACAATTGGGGGCTTTTAAAATGTGTATATGAAACCACAAATAGATCCCCTCGGTTCTTTGTGAAGAGAGCTTCTATTTCTCTATTCAAAAGCACTGTCTGCTTGGTATGTCCTTGCAGTTCTCTCCTAATATATTTTTGCACTTTGCCCCTGGGGGTCTATGTTTATGTGAATTGTTATGTGCTGTTTTCAGAATTTAAAAAATCGTATCTTTGGAATAGGATGGGAAGTGTTCTGAAAACTAGGTTACCAGTAATTTTTTGAAATCATTTCATTCAAAGAAAAATGATACTCAGAAAAGATTCTTATAATAAATTACTGTTTGATAGAATGCAGAACAATCCCAAACCCAAGGATTTTATTATGTTTATAGTTTCTGCTTATTACTTCAAATACTTTATATACATTATGCTTAAGAGATGGTGATTTTCTATAAATTTGTTCATTAAAAAGATGAATCTTTAAGACCAAGAAAGTGATTTAAAAACTACAAGTTTGTATTCTTAAGCTCTTTTTGTTTGTGTGTTTTTAAATTATGTTTCAAAAAGGCAAATTATTCATTTGTATAGCTTTTTCCAAGAAATCCTCCTTTGGACATATTTTTAATTCGTGTTTAGGAAGGCAGCTGTAGATATAAAATAGTCTTTCTTTGAATTTACATTTTCTTCTCACTATCTTTATATCCAATATTGATCATAAGTGAATCTTTAATTGTTGCATGTCTGGTAGAAATAAATTGTATAAAGCATTGTAAAAGATATGGGAAAGTTAGTAAGTGATAGTAAGAATAAGGTAATAAACATTTTTGGCACACATTATCAATCATTTAACCCTGAAATATATTTTAATCTTTCATTCTGTATTCGGTTTCTGAAAACTGGGCAAAAGTTATAAATCGCAGAATGGGCCTGGCAACAATCAAACTAAGGAGTAAATCTAATGAATGACTTTTGTAATTCAGGGTTTAATTCAGAGTGATCCACATCACTGTTCAAACTGCTCTCCTCTTGCATCCTCTGCATTGGGGAACAGCCCAAAACGGACATATCTCCCAAGTCTGAAGCCCTAAGGTCATCTTTGGTTCTCCCCTTGCTGAGACCTCCCACATCAAATGGGTTAAAACACATTGTCAGTTCTACCTCCCTCAGTATCTGCACAGATTTGATTCCTTCATCTCTCACACTATCTGCTGGAATAACACCTATTGGCCTTCCTGCTTCCAGTGTTATTTTTTTCCTACCAATCGATTTGGTATGTTACTGCCAGTGTATAGAATTTTAATAAATCAAATTGTAAAACATACAAGTACAAAATAACGGTACAACTCAACGAATTTTAACAAAGTGGACATACTCATGTAACCGTATTTAAATAAGGAAAAAAAATTATCAGCACTTTTAAAGGTCACTGGGTATAGTATTATATAAATACTATGTAGGTCAAGTTAATACTGCTGATCGAATTATCTATGGCCTTACTGATTATTTTTTGTTTTAGTCACTCATCAGTTGCCAGTAAAGGAATATTAAAATCTCCAACTATGATTGCAGAATTATTCATTGCTTCCCTTAATTCTGTCATTTTTGTCTTATGTATTTTTTATTTCTGTTGCTGAGCACATGCATATTTATTATTATTATATCTTTCTGATAAGTTGAAATTTTAATCATTATGAAATATCCCTTTTTATTGTTGGTAATACTATTTGTCTTGAAGTTCATAATTTCTGATATTAGAATAGTCTCTCTAGTTTTCTGATGCCTTCTATTTGCAAGGCATATTTTTTATATTAACTTCCAACCTAGATGTGTTATTATATTTAAAGTCTGTCTCATGTAGGCAGTATACAGTGGAGATTTTTAGTCTATTTTGATAATCTCTGCCTGTTAGTTGGAGTATGTAGTCTATTTGCATTTGTCACAATTACTGATGTGATTGGATTTATGTATACCACTTTATTATTTGTTTTCTGTTTGTTTGATTCTCCTGTTTCTCCTTTTCTTCCTTCTTTTGGATAATTTGAATAATTTTTAGAATTTCATTTCAACTTGTATACTGATTTTTAAGTTCTTTGCATTATTTTATGGGTTGCTGTAGTGATTACAATATACATTCTTGACTTTTACATTCTACTTATAGTCAATATTGTACTATTTCAATTAAAGGACAGAAATTGCAACAATATAGGTCAATTTATCCTTACTCTTTTGTAAGGATATATGACAACTTGCCATAGTTGTCATATATTTAAGTCTACATACATTATAAATCCACAAAAATATGTTTTAATTTTGTTTTAAACAGTCCTGTGTTTTATACAGAAATTAAAGGAAAAACAATGTTTTATTTTCTCAGATATTTACCTTTTTAATGCTTCCCTCCTTCCTGAAGATATAATGTGGTAGTTCTTCTCAGTCTAAAGAGCTTATTTTTGCTATATCTTATATGACAGGTCTTCTAGTAATGAGTTTTCTTAGCTTTCTTATATCTGAAAATATCTTTATTTTGCCTTTATTCTCAAGGGATATTTTTGTTGCATATAAAATTCTGGTTGGCAGCTTCTCTCTCTGCACTTTGAACATGTTGTACTGTCTTCTATTCTCCATAGTTTCTGAAGGCAGTGATAATTCAAATTGATGTTCCTCAATATGTAATGTGTTATTTATCTTTAGCTGCTTTCAAGAGTCTGTCTTTGATATTTAGCAGTTTGACTCTGACTGTCCTAGATGCTAAATATGGTTTTATTTGTAGTTGTCCTGCTTGCAGTTCACTGGACTTCCTGAATTTATGACTTTCACTACATTTGGGGAGGTTTTGGCCACTTTTTTTTTATCCCAGTATCTCTTTTTTTTGAGATTCCAATGATCATTTGTTAGATCTTTTGAAATCATCCCATCACTCCCTTGGAAGGCTATTCATTTTTTTTTTATTATTTTCTCTCTGTTCTTCAGGTTGGATAATTTTTATTGCTCTATTTTCTGAATCTGATTGTAAGTATACTTTCCATTCCTGGGTCACTTCACTTAGAATAATGGTCTCCAATTCCATCCAGGTTGCTGTGAACAGTGAATCTCTGTTTCTTTCTATTGTTGTCTTTACTCTGCTGTTAAGCTTGTCCAGTGTTTCTTTTTGTTTGTCTTTAGTTTAGATACTGTATTCTTGAGTTTTATAATTTGCACTTAGTCCTGTTTTTGTTAATAGTTTCTATTTCTTAACTGATATTTCCCATGCTTTCATTGATTGTCAGTATACTTTCCTTTATATCCTAGAGCACAGTTACAGTTGCTGTTTTAAATATTTGTCTTCTAATTCCAACATTTGGATCATCTCAGGGTTAGTCTCCATTAATAACATTTTCTCTTATGAATGAGTCATATTTTCCTGGTTCTGTAGATAATGAGATACATCTGTTATATCTATGGCAATGTGAATGTTATCTTGTGGAGACTGTAAAATCTGTTTTACTCATCCTTCAAGAATGTTTTATTAGACAATTAACCGATTGGACTCAAACATCATATTCTGTCTTTTGGGTCACAATGTAAATCTCAAATCAGCTCTTTTATTCTTTTTTCATTCTAGACTTTTTTTGCACATTTTAATTAATTTATTTATTAGTTCAATAGGCTTTTGGGAAACAGGTGGTGTTCATTTGCATTAATAAGTCCTTTAATGGTGATTTCTGAGATTCTGGTGCAACTATCACCCGAGCAGTGCACACTGTAAAAATTATGTAGTCTTGTTTTTTAGACAGCCTTGCTCTATTGCCCTGGCTGGAGTGCAGTGGTGTGATCTTGGCTCACTGCAACCTCTGCCTCCCACATTCAAGCAATTCTCATGCCTCAGCCTTCTGAGTAGCTGGGAGTACAGGCATGTGCCATTGTGCCCAGCTAACTTTTTATATTTTTAGTAGAGATGGAATTTCCCCATGTTTGCCAGGCTGGTATTGAACTCCTGGTCTCAAGTGAGCCTTGGCCTCCCAAAGTGCTGAGATTACAGGCATGAGCCACCATGCTCAGCCAATGTGTAGTCTTTTATCCCTCACCACCTAACACCCTTTCTCCCAAGTCTCCAAAGTCCATTGATTCATTCTTATGCATTTGCCTCTTCATAGCTTAGCTCTCACTTATGAATGAAAACATACGATATTTGGGTTTCCATTCCTGAGTTGCTCCACCTAGAATAACAGTCTCCAATTCCATCCAGGTTGCTGTGAATGCCATTATTTCATTCCTTTTTATGGCTGCATAGTATTCCATGGTGTTTATATATATCACAATTCCTTTATCCACTCATTGATTGATGGGCATTTGGGCTGCTTCCATATTTTTGCAATTGTGGATTGTGGTGCTATAAACATATTTCTGCAAGTATCTTTTTCATATGATAACTTCTTTTCCTCTGGGCAGATACCCAGTAGTGGGACTGCTGGATCAAATGATAGTTCTACTTTTAGTTCTTTAAGGAATCTCCACACTGTTTTCCATAGTGGTTGTACTAGTTTACATTCCCAACAGCAGTGTAAAAGTGTTACATTTTTGGCCAGGTATGGTGGCTGACACCTGTAATCCCAGCAATTTGGGGGGCTGAGGCGGGCAGATCACCTGAAATCAGGAGTTCAAGACCAGCCTGGCCAATGTGGTGAAACCCTGTCTCCGCTAAAAATACAAAAATTAGCCAGGCCTGGTGACGTATGTCTGTAATCCCAGCTACTCAGGAGCCTGAGGCATAAGAATTGTTTGAACCTGGGAGGCGGAGGTTGCAGTGAGCCAAGATCACACGCACCACTGCACTCCAGAGCAAGACTCCATCTCAAAAAAAAAAAAGAAAGAAAAAAAGGTTACCTTTTCACCACATCCATGCCAACATCTATTTTATTATTTTTTTTTATTATGGCCATTTTTCCAAGTGTAAGGTGGTATCACATTGTGGTTTTGATTTGCATTTCCCCAGTCATTAGTGATGTTGAGCATTTTTTCGTATGTTTTTTGGCTGTTTGTATATCCTCTTTTGAGAATTATCTATTCATGTCCTTAACCCACTTTTTGATAGTATTGTTTATTTTTTTCTTGTTGATTTGTTTGAGTTCTTCATAGATTCTGGATACTAATCCTTTGTGGGAAGTATAGATTGTGAAGATTTTTCTCCCACTCTGTTGGTTTTCTGTATACTCTGCTGATTATTTCTTTTGCTAAGCAGAAGCTTTGTAGTTTAATTAAGTCCCATCTATTTATCTTTGTTTTTGTTTCATTTGCTTTTGGGTTATTGGTCATGAAGTCTTTGCCTAAGCCAATGTCTAGAAGGATTTTTTCAAAGTTATGTTCTAGAATTGTTATGGTTTCAGGTCTTAGATTTAAGTTTTTGATCCATCTGGTGTTGATTTTTGTATAAAGTGAGAGATGAGGATCCAGTTTCATCCTTCTACATGTGGCTTGCCAAGTATCCCAGCACCATTTGTTGAATAGGGTGCCCTTTCCCCACTTTGTTTCGCTTTGCTTTGTCTAAGATAAGTTGACTGTTAAGTGTCTGGCTTTATTTCTGGGTTCTCTATTCTGTTCCATTGGTCTACATGTCTATTTTTATACCATGTATTTTATACCATGTATACAACATGTTTATACCATGTTGTTTCAGTGGTCTTATAGTATAGTTTGAAGTCAGGTAATGTGATGCCTCCAGATTTGTTCTTTTTGCTTAATCTTGCTTTGGCTATGTGGGCTCTTTTTTGGTTCCATTTCACTTTTAGAATAGTTTTTTCTAGTTCTGTGAAGAATGATGATTGTATTTTGGTGGGAATTGCATTGAATTTGTAGATTGCTTTTGGCAGTGTGCTCATGTTCACAATATTGATTCTACCCATTTGTGAGCATGAAATGTGTTTCCATTTGTTTGTGTCATCCATGATTTCTTTTAGCAGTGTTTTGTAGTCTTCCTTACAGAGGTCTTTCACTTCCCTAGTTAGATATATTCCTACGTGTTTTATTTTTTTGCAGCTATTGTAAAAGACGTTAAGTTCTTGATTTGATTTTCAGCTTAGTCGCTGTTGGTGTATAGCAGAGCTACTGATTTGTGCACATTAATTTTGTATCCTGAAACTTTGCTGAATTCATTTATCAGTTCTAGGAGCTTTTTGGAGGAGTCTTTAGGGTTTTCTAGGTATACAATCATATCAACAGCAAATGGTGAGAGGTAAATTGTTTACCAATTTGGATGTCTTTTATTTCTTTCTCTTGTCTGATTGCTCTGGCTGGGACTTGAAGTACTATGTTGAATAGAAGTCATGAGAGTAGGCATCTGTAGACTTCCAGTACTATGTTAGATAACAGTGGTGAGAGAGAGTATCCTTGTCTTGTCTAGCTTTCAGGGGGAATGCTTTTGTGTCTGGAATTGGGGGTTCTTGGTCTCACTGACTTCAAGAATGAAGCCGCAGACCCTCGTGGTGAGTGTTACAGTTCTTAAAGGTGGCGTGTCCGAGTATGTTCCTTCTGATGTTCAGATGTGTTCAGAGTTTCTTCCTTCTGGTGGGTTCGTGGTCTCGCTGGCTCAGGAGTGAAGCTGCAGACCTTCGTGGTGAGTGTTACAGCTCATAAAGGCAGTGTGGATCCAAAGAGTGAGCAGCAGCAGGATTTATTGCAAAGAGCAAAAGAACAAAGCTTCCACAGTGTGGAAGGGGACCGGAAAGGGTTGCCACTGCTGGCCGGGGCAGCCTGCTTTTATTCTGTTATCTGGCCCCACCCACATCCTGCTGATTGGTAGAGCCGTGTGGTCTGTTTTGACAGGGCGCTGATTGGTGCATTTACAATCCCTGAGCTAGACACAAAGGTTCCCCAAGGCACCACCAGAGTACCTAGATAGTGTTGATTGGTGCATTCACAAACCCTGAGCTAGACACAGGGTGCTGATTGCTGTGTTTACAAACCTTGAGCTAGATACAGAGTGCCCATTGGTGTATTTACAATTCCTGAGCTAGACACAAAGGTTTCCCAAGGCCCCACCAGAGTAGCTAGATACAGTGTTGATTGATGCATTCACAAACCCTGAGCTAGACAAAGGGTGCTGATTGTTTACAAACCTTGAGCTAGATACAGAGTGCCGATTGGTGTATTTACAATCCCCGAGCTAGACACAAAGGTTCTCCAAGGCCCCACCAGACTCAGGAGCCCAGCTGGCTTCACCCAGTGGATCTCGCACTGGGGCTGCAGGTGGAGCTGCCTGCCAATCCCGCGCCATGCGCCCGCACTCCTCAGCCCTTGGGTGGTCGATGGGACTGGGCTCCGTGGAGCAGGGAGCGGCGCACATCGGGAGGCTCCCGGCGCACAGGAGCCCACTGAGCCGGTGGGAGGCTCAGGCACGGTGGGCTGCAGGTCCCCAGCCCTGCCCCTTGGGAAGGCAGCTAAGGCCGGCGAGAAATCGAGCGCAGCGCCGGCGGGCTGGCACTGCTGGGGGACCCAGTACACCCTCCGCAGCCGCTGGCCCGGGTGCTAAGCCCCTAATTGCCCAGGGCTGCAGGGCCGGCCGGCTGCTCACGGGGCCCGCCAAGCCCACGCCCACCCGGAACTCCAGCTGGCCCGCAAGCGCCGCGCGTAGCCCCAGTTCCCGCTCGCGCCTCTCCCTCCACACCTCTCTGCAAGCTGAGGGAGCCGGCTCCGGCCTTGGCCAGCCTAGAAAGGGGCTCCCACAGTGCAGCGGTGGGCTGAAGGGCTCCTCAAGTGCTGACAAAATGGGAGCCCAGGCAGAGGAGGCGCCGAGAGCGAGGGAGGGCTGTGAGGACTCCCAGCACGCCGTCACCTCTCACTTTCAACTCTTCCGCATTCAGTATTATGTTGGCTGTGGATTTGTCATAGATGGCTTTTATTACCTTAAGGTATGTCCCTTCTATGCTGATTTTGCTGAGGGTTTTAATCATAAAGTGGTGCTAGATTTTGTCAAATGTTTTTTCTGCATCTATTGAAATGATCATGTGATTTTTGTTTTTAATTCTGTTTATGTGGTGTATCACATTTATTGACCTATGTATGTTAAACCATCCCTGCATCCCTGGCATGAAACCCACTGAATCATGGTGGATTATCTTTCGGATATGCTGTTGGATTCGGTTAGCTAGTATTTTGTTAAGGATTTTTGCATCTATATTCATCAGGTATATTGGTCTGTAGTTTTCTTTTTTTGTTACGTCCTTTCCTGGTTTTGGTATTAGGGTGATACTGGCTTCATAGAATGATTTAGGGAGGATTCCCTCTTTATCTTGTGGAATAGTGTCAACAGAATTAATACCAATTGTTCTTTTAATGTCTGATAGAATTCAGCTGTGAATTTGTCTGGTCCTGGACTTTTTTGTTGGCTATTTTTTTATTACCATTTCAATCTCACTGCTTATTATTGGTCTGTTCAGAGTTTCTATTTCTTCCTGGTTCAATCTAGGAGGGTTATATATTTCCAGAAATTGGGGCCCTTAAACAAAACAATTATCACTCAAGAATTTTATATCCAGTGAAACTAAGCTTCATAAATGAAGAAAAGATATAGTCATTTGCAGATAAAAAAAATATTAAGAGAATTCACCACTACCAAGCCAGCACTACAAGAACTGCTAAAAGGAGCCTTAAATCTTGAAACAAATTCTTGAAATATGCCAAAACAATTATTTTATTCTTATCCAGAATCTATCCATACATTATTTTGTTGGTTCATGTGTGGTTCAAGGGTCACTCGGAAACTTGGGCAGAGTTTATAGACAGAATTTGGGGTTCCCCTCTCTGGTTTTTTATTTATGGGATTTCTTTCTAATTTGCCAGTGGCTATGGTTGCCTGGAACTTTGTCTTGGTTGTTCACACTAGAAAGACTATGGATTTTCTCTCAGAATTCCAGCTTCCCATAGAATAACAAACTTCGTCTACTTGCATACTTTATTCTTTTATGCATTTTTAATCTTCAGTCAGAGATCATTTCCCTTTAACTGAAAAACTCCTTTTAGTTTTCTTTTAGAGAGTCTCTGTTGGTGACAAATGCTCTCAATTTTTATTTGCCTGAAATGTCTTTATCTAACCTGCATTTTCTAAAGAGCTTTACTTTATGGTGGCAGATGTTTTCTTATAGCAGTTGGAGTATGTCATTTCTTTTCTTCTGATTTCTATTGCTTTATGAGAAATGTTAATTGTTGTTTTTGAGGTAATATGTAGTTTTCTCTGACTGCTTTTAAAACTTTTCTCTTGTGTTTAATTTTTCAGAAGTTCTATTATAAAGTGCCTAGATGGGATTTTTTTGTACTTTTCATATTGAGTTTGTAAGTTTTCTTGAATATTTTATTTGATATCTTTCTTCAGTTTTGTTTCTGTACTCTTTTCTACCTCCTTCTTTTCTGGGGCTCCAATTATATTCATGTTGTTCCTTTTCATTATGTAAGAGACTAGAAGGCAGTCTTGTATTGGCTCAATCCCTCATTAGATTCAGATAATGTATACCTACATTAACTACTTACCTTTAATCAAACAAAATCCTTCATGAAGGAAAATAATACCTTTCAGAGATTCTGGAATTTTTCATATACAATTTCTTGGTTTTAATAGAAAATTATAAGGCAAACCAAGAGACAGTAGGAAGAGAAAAAAAAGACAATAGAAACAAACTGCCAGACTATGATATTGCCAGTTTTCATATGTCTCCTATGATCTTTTCTGTTTTTTTCTATTTTTTATTCTAGATATTTTCCATTAATCTGCTTTCTAGATAATGAATACTCTGCAACTGTGACCAATCTGCTGTCTTATCCACCTTTTGTCTTCTTAATTCAATTTTGGTTTTATTCAGTTTAGAATTTCCATTTGATGCTTTCTTGTAGACAGAAGTTCTTTGATGAAGTTATCACTCTTGCCATCTATTTTCTTGACCATAGTAATCATAGATATAAAATTTTCTAATACCTGGATTCCCTGTGAACCAGCTTCTATTGTTTTCTTTTTCTTCACTCCTTGTTGTCTCTTGGTTTGCTTGGTAATTTTTTATTAAAATTCAGACATTGTTTATAAAAAAATCCAGATCTCTAACTGTTATTATTTTCTTCCATGAAGGATTTTGTTTGATTAATCACAGGCATTTAATTTAGGTATATATTACTTTAATCAGGAATTGAGCCAATTTAAGACTACCTTCCAGTCTTGTAAGGCCTTGTCTGTATTTTTAATTTGCTGTTACTGAGTAGTCCTTTTGGGTTCCCAGCTGAAAGCTCTGGATGTTTACCAAGGCTCCCCTTCCCTGATAGTTTATGAAGTCCAATTTTTATATCTCCAGCATTATGATATTGACAGTAGATCTGTTCAGGTTTTCAGCCTCCTGGAAGTTCCTTTATGCTTTTCTTCTCAGACTCTCCATCTGCACTGCTTTTGATTTCAATGATGGTCTCAATAGACAAAGAGGCTCAGCTTATTGGGCACTTGTCTCTTCCTCCCCTTCTTGTATGTTGGCACCTCCTCCAGATCCATCATTCCTAATGATCCCATTTAAATCTTACCTTCCAGAAAAACTTACTAGTTTTCATTGCCCAAACATGCTTCTCACACCTCTTCTCTGCTGAGAACCTCAGTTCCATGTTAGCTTGATTGTTAAACATGTACTACTTGGTTTTTTTTTTTTTTTTTTTTAACAGAGCCCCCTGTTCTTTTTTTTTATTATTATACTTTAAGTTCTAGGGTACATGCACGCAAGGGTAACTGGTAACTTCTGTGAGGCTACATACCCATATTGTCACCCACTTTGGACTTCTTTATACTCAGTACATATTTCTTTCATAGCACTTTATTAAAACATGTATGTAGGAATAGATAAATAGATAAATGAAATCTTCTTCTATTAGGGACATTACTAGTCTGTAAAGTCCTTGAGGGAAGGACTCTCTTTATTTTTATATTCCTATTACCTAAGTATATTACATGGCTTATAGTGGAAGGTGAATAAATATCCATTGAATAAATGAAAACACTTTTAAAATATTTCTATTCCAACTTATCAAGTTGTTTCCACTGATAAAGCTTTATGATAGTCACCTGATGATTGTAGACTCTGAATGTTTGTTAATTAGATTTGCTAATTCTATTAGGTACACTTAATCTAAATAATCCATAAATTCCTAAAGCATCTTACTTCTAAAAAATGCACGTCTGAATCAATAAATCTAGCATCCTACGTGAGAAACAGGTAGGGTCTATACACAATTCTTTTGTTCTTGTTAATTTCTGTGTCTTGTTTTACCTAATTAGCAAGATTACTTAGAACAATTTACATTTTTCTGCAAAATTTGTTCATTTATTGTGAGACACCACCTCCTCAGAGAGGAGCCATATATAGATTGAGTTTAATAGATTTCATTATTTTAAGACTCCTTCAAAGCCTTTTTTGTAATATGTTTGTAAGAAATTAATATAAATAAACTTTTGAGAAAACAACCTTTGATCCTAGAATCTGAAAATCCAAGTCAGATATATTCAATTCTTCCAGCGCACTAAGGGAAGCACAGGTGATATTGGTTGTATTTACTTACTGCAATCCCAGAACATTTAACAGTTTGGCACATAGAAGGTTCACAACACATTTTTGTTGAACTTATGAATAAGTCAATGAGAAGTATTGAATAAAAGTCCTCCAGCCATTAACACACCAGAGATATAAATCTTCCTCTAACCTGTCAGTGTGACAATATTATAAAGAGCCCTGAAGAGGAAACTGAACATGATAGATTATTTCTTTTATTAATTTATTTTAGAAGTAAGATTTTAATGTAAAAACTATAAAATCTAAATAATTGTTTTAAGAAGATATAATTTAGTATTTGTATGACAATTCTAAACAACTTTATTCAACATGCTATTTCATCTTTTAAGCATATTCCTACACAAAATTTAAGCTGTTTATAGGAACCTTATCAAAGCTTTTTATATTGGAGTTACATGATTGGTTACCATAGCCATAAAGGTTTTCCAGGCCAAGGTAAATTGTTATATGCTTTCTGGTACATAACTTTGGAATGTTTGCTTAAATATTTGAGGAAATCCCTAAAGAAATATTCCTTAGAAAATGTTTGGTCCATTCTGTAACTGCTTCTATAACAAAGATATAATTCAGGCTAATTTGTTTCCATTACAAAATTTCAACTTTTAAAAAATTTACCTGGACTCTAAAAGCTTCCAATATATGTTCAGTGAATAGCAGAACATCTTTCTTTCAAGCACTTAACCATCTCAAACCATCAAGGGTGTGGCACAAAACCAGTGATGAATGTTGGAGTGTTCAGAAGCTATGAATCACAGTCACCTGTGCAGCATGATATAAACATTGATTCTCAGGCTTTATCTACTGAGATTCTAATTAAGGATTCCACAAATTTTTATATTTAAACAGAACTATGTTTATATTTAATGTTTATATTTAAACATATCTAAAACAGAAATGTGTACAATAATAAAATCATAGTGCTGAAGGGAAATTCATTCAACTCTAATTCATCTCAAATTTCAATTGGAAACACCAACTAAGCATCAGAGAGAGGCAAAACTCTTTCCCTTTTATAAATCCAATAGAAGTCCGTTAACCAATTTCTCTAACCATCGGTCACTTTAAGATTATTACCACCTTATTGTATACTATACATTACACCTTTGAAATGAAGACAGAATATTTTATATTAGAAGGTGAAAAATCTTTTTTTCAGGTATGTTCATTTTAGTCCACATTTGTGGAAATGGCAGGCTCTGGCCATTTTAGAGCAGGTGTTGCCTGATGAAATACACATTTGTAAACAGATTCTTGTCCTCTTCGTTACCGGTGGTTGTTATTGTCCAACAGAAACCTGTGAAAGCGTCTGCACTTTAGCTTGTTTACTGTGCATTCTTAATGCCTATGAATGCAAACAGGCAGATTAGGAAAATAGTCAACCGTTCCTTTTAGCAGAGTTTGTAAGTACCATGCAGATTGCACTTCAAATGCCTTCAGGTGTGGAAAGAACTGCAGCTCCTTTTGTGTAGTTGTGAGGACAATAATCAGTTTCAGACTAAAGAGGGACTAGCAAGACTTCCTCTTCTGATCAGACAGAGATAAGACTGAAACACTACCTGTCAGACTTTGCCCATGGTCCTTAGACAAAATGACAATCTTAATGGACTAAGGTAAGCTCATTTGCCTCGGAAGTGAAGGGAAACCCTTAACAATGAAACATTCCCAAAAACCAGGAAATTTAAGGCAAATATCAGAACACACAATTATTTATTGAATGAAAAGGAAACTGGTAGACAAGGGCAACGAACCTTCTGATACATAACAAAGATGAATGCTTTTTTTTTTTTTTCTATGCTTTAGGACACAGAGGGAGGGAGAAATCCAAGGTCTAGAGTTAGGCTTGAAGTGGGTATGTTGGAAAAGGAGTGTAAAGTATACACATACATTGTAACTGCTGACTTCCTTTATTAAAACCTGTCTACAGGCAACACTTGAAACTTACATATGGGGAGAGACTTCTTGAAGCTGATGTCAGATGCCTAAAAAGGAAGTGCAAATGGCCATCATCCTGGGTTGCACTGGGGATGACTTGTTGAAGCACGATGTCACCAAAGAGCAGTTTCGCATCAATAGCTTTCTTGGTCTCACACTGAAAAACCTACAGCGGAAATAGAATACTTCTGTTCTTTTACTGTGCACATGAAAGGAACAGAAAATAGGCAGGAGCTTTCTGACCCTTTAAAACAAGCTCCCAAGCACTTTACTCCTTTTGAAAACCCTGTGAAGTTTCCTCCTGACACACAAGTCCCAGTTGCATTGTATGCGGTGCATTAACGCAGCACTTGTTCTGCACTTCACCTGCTGCCTGGTTGAAATGTCCACCTTTGTGAGCCCTTTTTGTCAGGAGTCCTATTCTCCAGCTCAGCAATAGCGTATAGGTTGGGCCATTGCAGCCAGCATTTCATGCAGATTGACAATCGATTGACAGGTAGCCTGGGTTTTCTTCCCTGCTTTTCCATAAATAGTTTTGTGTTTCAAACAAGTCACTTTTCCTCCCTGGGCCTCTTGATCTATAAATCAAGAGAGTTGGACTGGTTGACTCTTCAGGTGCATTCTACCTCTATAATTTTCAATATCTATTTGGCAAAATAGTATCAGTAGATAATATTTATATTTGAAATCCTCCATTTTTCTTTTTGACAGCCTTTTAATATACTTTCACAGATGAGAACAACTTTCCAAGTGTTATTTATTTCTTTTAAAAAGTCAAACAGACTTTGTTCATGTGTAATTTAACATTTAATTGTGTAAAATTTGGTTTTCTTATATTCCCAAGAATCTAGCAATGACTTAGTAGAGTATCATCCAACTCAAACTGGTGCTGATTTGCTTTCCAGGCGTATTTACACCGGCCAGAATACTGTGATAAAATAGGTAAGTGATAGTTTTGAATAGAGATTTAAAGTGCTTAAAGTGGTTTTTTGTCACCACACCAAGGGAGACTGTGGCTGAGCTGTTTTCAGAGAGCAAATCCTTCCTGTATCCCTGAGCTGTGTTCTCCATTGTTTAGTCTACTTTACTAAGATTTAGCCCAGGGAGGGGAGATCAGCATTTAAGCTGAATCACTAGACTTAGTGGCAGCTGAGTGGAGAGTTAGAATTTATTGAATACAGGTTTCAGCAGAGGTGACTGCTGTAACATTATGCGTTTAAAAGATCACATCACTTTGGTAGGCTATTACAATAAATTCTACAGAAATTTCTGGTTTCTTTTTTCCCTACTGCTGATTCCAAGGCCCCAGACCAATCTCCTTCAACTCCTGGCTTATTCTCCTGCTAGCTACCTCCATATTTCCATCTAAGCTCATAAGGCTGTAACTTGATTATTCAGCTTTGGAAACCCTGGTAAAGATTACTGGTGCTTACCACATTAGTTCTTCTCTTCTTCCTGGGTACATGGGAAGACTCCTAGCCTCCTCAGAAGTTAGATTGTGATCAAGAAAGAGCTAGTCATGTGAGCAGAAAATGAGAGGACAGATAAATCTACCTTTTTAAAAAGATCTCTTTTTCCTCAGATAAGTTTCTCCTGCTTGGCACCTTTTGTTCCAGGTGGTACCGGCTGCTGCTCGTTAGGCTGGTTGTTGTCATCCTAGGGTTTCCTTCATCACCATTCTAGGAATTTCCTTCACCCCTTTCCTGTGTCCAGTTCCCTGATTCCAGAGCCCCACATCGTCCTCCTGAGCCATTTCCTTATTGTGTTGGTTAACATGCTCCAGTAGCCTACTGAGAGAGGGTGTCCATTCTCTTTGCCCTTGTAGATTTAGATGCTTGTTTATGCTTTGCTCTCAATTTAATCAAGTTTCAGGAGAAAACAGAGATTAATATGTTTATTCAATCTACCTTTTTTCAGCCAATAAGAAGTAGCCAGTGTTTTCTTTGCACTGTCAAACTCAACTTTGGATAAATTTCACTTCAGTATGGAGTAAATAAGGCATACTTAACTCCATTGGAAATATTACCATTTTATTTCATCATAAACTACTGTATGATTTATTTCAAAAGTATTTAGCAAAATTAATAAGAGACTTTTTTTGTTTTGTATCTCAACATCAAAACTATATTTATTACTTTCTGCTCCCAAACCTATTCCTTTTCTCATATTCCTATTGATATCAGTCATGCATACAGTCAATCAGACCTTAAAACTTAGATGTGTTTGTCTCTTCCTTCTCTCCAAACCACAATGTTTGAAGTTGCAGATTCCTCTCTATTCTTTTTGCATTTGGTCCCACCTTTCTATTCTTATTACAACCCCCAAGCTTTGTTCAACCCATTGTTATAGCCCAGCCAACAGATCCCTAACACCAAAGGTAGGGTGATTTCAGCTGCAAGAACTGAATGACGGACTAAAAATGGCATTATCTTAATCAAGTTTTTCATCTTCCTAATCAAGAAATTCAGGGGTAGGCAGTGGCTGGATTGGTTAGCAGCTCAAGGATGTCTTCAAAGACCCACAGGCCCTTGCTTATCTTCTGCTCTGCTATTCTCAAGTGTGCCAGTAATATCTCCTTTGCAGTCACAAAATGGCTGCTGCAGTTCCAAGCATGAACTCCCTTCAGTCCCCTAATACTAATTGATTTATCCCTCCTCTATGTTCAGAGAACTAACTACATTATTTCTTCTGTTATACTTAATAACAGACACATCTACTTTGTAGTCTTGAATTTCTTAATGTTTGTGACTTGTAACTATATGTATCCTCAGAATGTCTTGTTTATAGGAGTTATTCAATAAATATGCACTGAGTTAAATTAAATTAAATGGTTGAATTCAAAATACTTGAAAATACATTTAACTCCAGACATTCCACAACCTTCAAAGTGTCCTAATGAACTTATCTCTCACTAAAATGAGTTAATCTCATTCTCCATGTAGAGATTTTACTCTGTGAATGATGTATTGCTGTTTGTTTGGAATGCAATTTACATATTTAGAATTCCAAGAAGTCCAAACTGAATAGTATATAACAATTGGAGCAATTTAAAACAAACAACATTATAGACAAATCCACATTCATAACAAAATCAAGTGCTGAAGGAACACTTATAAAAGAGAAAAGGAATGAAAGAGCCATTAAACATTTCTTTACTATAGGGACTCTTGTACCAGTGGCAAGATCTTAGGTTCTTTCTAGGCTACCTCTATTCACAATAGATCGTTTCTCATGAAAAATTAAGCCCCTTGCATACAGAAAGATTAGGTCTTTTGTTTGGTTCCAGATGTTTCCCACCACTGACTTTTGGCTTTCGTAAGTTAAAGGAAAAACTGCGGGCTGCTGCCCTGCAAACTTTTCATAAGACTTTCATAAGATTTGCCTGGTTTGTTATTACTGATTGTACTCATCAGAAGTAATTGCTTAATTCACAACCTCCGTTTAATTATTAGTATATCTACTCTTTGAGAACACATACTTTTTTGTCTTTATTCCTAGCTATTGATCATTTATTGTAACCATTTTCTGATTAAATATTATTTAATAGGAAGGATGCTTTCATTCAGTGTCAGAAGGTGTCAGTTCACCTAACTTCTTTTATTACATAAACTCTCAGTTTCTTCCTCTGTAAAATGGGACTAATAGGTGTGCTTGGAATAAGGTTATTGAGAAATTAATACATGTATGAAAACCATTTAGAATACTTCCTATAGATCACAAATGTTGGCTACTACTAGTAGCCAACTACTAGTAGTTGGATCTAGTAGCCAACAACTAGATCCAACAATTATGTTGGATCATAAATGTTGGCTACTACTAGTAGATTTTAAACTACAGCTAACACTATTTTTTGGTTTACATGTCTAATTGCTTACAAAATTAAAGTCAAGCATCACTAAATTAATGGAAGACATTGACTATATTCTGTATATCTGTCCCATATGAAGTTTTAGCATAGTGTTATTAAAAACTTAAAAAATAAATAGTTTTTCCCAAGTTTTCTCCTCCCCCAAATAATCAAGGTCCTTTTTTGGCTTTACATCTGGATGAAGCAAGTATACAATATAACCATATTTTAATGTTACTAATGGTTTTTCACTTTAAAAAATAAGTATTTTTTATGTATAATATCTATGTCGATTTATGTATGGGCTACCAATAATGTAGTCAATTCAGCTAACTTTGTTTAATCTATTAAATCTATTTTCAAAAGAACACTAAACTGAGTTATTAAAATGTTAAATATATGTTTAGTTGGTGTTAGTAGTTTTCAATTAATTCATAGTAAGGCTATAACTATTGGAATTTTATAGTTTGAATTTTTTATAATAATTACAATATTAGGAATTAATGGATTTTTACATTGCAAGAATCTCAGGTTTTGACATTCCTATTTTAATTATATCACAAGTTCTCTGCATTTTGAGATTTTGCTCATTTTAATAGAAATTCTTATAACTGAAAAAAATTATTGATTTTGTCTCTTGAAAAGGAAGGTGTCAACTTCAAATAAAATGGAAATTTCAAGGATGAATTTTGTCCACTTAATGTAAAGAAGGGTTATTTAGTCTTGAACATTTAAAAAAACAGGATTTGTCTTTCTAAGCTATTCACATTCCTGAAAAATAGCCACTTTTTGAAACAGAAACTTCACGATTGTTTAGTTTTCTGTGAAGCAGAGTGTTTGGTAAACAAATGCAGAGAATGGGAACATTTTTCAGCTTCCTGCAAAACCTTCAGATGCATGACTGCGCATTGTCTCTACAAAGAGAAAATAAAAATGAGAGCAACTACTTAGAAACCTGTCCACACACACACATTTGTTATAAACACAAAAGTTATGGAAGAGATTTCTTGCTACTATGAATCCTTATCATGCATTAGACTTTGAACTTATTATACAGAGTATATTTTTTCTCAGCTGCTGATATACTAATGGAAAAAAGCTTAAAATTTATCTAACAGGGTTTAAAATTATGTCTGGGTATGCATCTCCCAATTTTCAACAAAACACTTATAACTATACAGATAAAGATAACACATAATATCACCACAGAAAATTAAATGGATAATCAAACCCATTTCCAGAGGATGGGCAGAAATTTTAGTAACCATAAGGGAGAAGGCACAGAATTAGGAAAAACAGTTGGCAGTTCACTTATGCTTCACCCACCAAAAAGAGTCACCCGTAGGTAGATGAACACAGGAATGGAGACTTTTATGTCTCTCCCTGACTGTCAGGACCTGCAGTCTAATACTGCAGCCACCAGTCACATGTGACTATTGAGCACATTTTAAATGTGGCTACCAGAAAATGTAAAACTACATATGTGGCTTGCATTTGTGGCTCACATTCTATATGGACAGTGCTGGTCTATAGCATGAGAGAACCATATTCTATACTAACTGTAAAACTGGCCAGCTTGGTGGAGTTTCTGTTTGAAGTGGCTGGAATATTTTATTTCCTACTACATGGGTAAAAAAAAAAAAGTATTTTATTTACTTTTATTTGCTCATGTAGTGAGTGACTTAGTCCAAGAAAACATGGCAGAAATTGGAGGTGGAGTAGGGGTGGTGATTAACTACAGGTTGTTACAGAAAGTTTGTATAAAAGGGTGGTATGGTTTGGCTGTGTTTCCACTCAAATCTCATCTGGAATTATAATTCCCATAATCCCCATGTATTGTGGGAGGGACATGGTAGGAGGTCATTGACTCATGGGGACAGTTACCCCCATGCTGCTCCTCTCGTGATAGTGAGTGAGTTCTCAGGCTATCTGATGGTTTTATAAGGGCCTTTTCCCCTTTTGCCAAGGACTTCTCCTTTCTGCCACCATGTGAAAAAGAACGTGTTTGCTTCCCCTTCCGCCATGATTGTAAGTTCTCTAAGGCCTCCCCAGCCATGTGGAACTGTGAGTCAATTAAATCTCTTTCCTTTATAAATTAACCAGTATTGGGTATGTCTTTATTATCAACATGAGAACAAATACAATGGGTAACAAGGAAAGAGGCCTGATGGCAGTGAATATGTTGAAAATGGCAGTTTTTAATGTATAGCATCATTGCAGCATGATAGAGAACAAGGTAGAGTGATGGTAAGAGCTGTATGACATAAAACACTGCTATTCAATGGGAAGTGAAGTTGGAGCTATGGATTACATCTGCTTTCTAACTATATATCTGAGAAGTTAGGTTTATCAAATTCCACATACAGAGTAAGAACAAAGGGGGAATTCATGTGCTCTATTTATTGGCAAATCTAAGTCCAGATCGATTTCTCTGCATTCAAACATAATTAAAGACTGGAGAAAGGGCTGGGCACGCTGGCTTGTGCCGGTAATCCCAGCACTTTGGGAGGTCGAGGTAGGCAGATCACCTGAGGTCGTGAGTTTGAGACCAGCCTGGCCAACATGGTGAAACCCCATCTCTACTAAAAATACAAAAATTAGCTGGGCATGGTGGTGTGCGCCTGTAATCCCAGCTATTGGGAGACTGAGGCAGGAGAATCCTTTGAATCCAGGAGGCGGTGGTTGCAGTGAGCCGAGATTGTGCCATTGCACTCCAACCTGGGCAATAAGAGTGAAACTCCATCTCAAAAAAAAAAAAAAAAAAAAAGACTGGGAGAAACAGAAAAGAAATAAACTACTTGGATCAATAGAAAAAAAAATACAGAACAATAGAATGGAAACATCATACTAAAGTTTTGGTGCAGGAGCATAATTGCGAAAAAAAACTACAGTGAGGTTTTAAGTTCACCTATACTAATAATTGTACTGCAGACCTTTAAGGGAAAAAAATAATTGTCTGAGGATTTTAAATTCTGAGCCAAAGACAAAGTAAAAAACAGCTAGGAAGTTTTTATATTGGCCCTAAATGAGACTGTTACTTCTTGTAGCCACAGCGTCTGACCCCGCAGTTGATGAATTATAAGGTTGGTTGATGTTACCGTCGTGTTAGGTCTCATGTAAAAATAAAGGCTTTGGTTGGGAAAAAATGAGACACCGAGATTTGAGATGGCCAAATTTTAAAGGATTTCAGTAAGTCAGAGCATCTCAGACCCCAGAGTCCCTCTGAGTTTCCTATCCTAATAAAAGTAGCCTCTGTTTGAGAGGCTAGTCTTGCCTTGCTTAGGGCCTCTATTATGACTTCACTCAAGGTAGTTAGCCTGGAAGAGAATGCCAAGTTTTCACATGAGCTAACTTTACTGCCCCTCTTTATCCTCAGTTAAATAGTGAGAGCTAAATAGCAGCATATTCCAAAGAGCTAATAACAACAAACAAACCTAGAAGGAAAAGGTTTACGTTATAAAAGGACTGAAACATTTTTTTTAACTTACATTGGATGAAGCCCAGGCAGCATGTATGAATGGCTTCTGGGAATTCTTGATGAGATAGGGTGGAACGTAAATACAGTTCCCAGGAATCTTGGATTTAGTGTTCAAGTTTCAGGGTCTAGAAATTATTTTAATTGCTTGTTCAGCTGGTAAACCAAAAGTGAACTCAACAGTGGCTTAAGCTGAATCAACATGAGACACCAGACATTATTCGCTTTAATGTAAATAACAACTACAAATGTTTAGGTGTTTTAAGGACAAGGAAGATGGGGTAGATTTATCATGTATAACTATGTCCTCCTCCAATCCTGTCCCCCAGTAGGACTCAGGAGACACACTCTTCATCAAGACACAGACAGGTACGTTAGATAAGGGGAATGCCAGTTGCCTAGAAAAGTGCTGTAGTGCTGCTCTCTGAGGCTAGAATGAAAGGAGATGCTGTCATTGAAATATGGTCCCTATTTTCAACGGGAATGATGAGATCAATGATGTTGATCCTTAACCTCAAGGATCAGGTAGATGTGGTTACTGTAATATGCAGCAGGCCTCTTGTGGTGGCTGACTGATTATTAGAACTGAAATAGATGGATAGCCTTCTGAGGTCTTAGTCTGTGTAACCAAAAGAAATCCAGGGCTGATGCACAAAAGCCAGACTTGAGTTATTATGACTTGAATTATGGCTTCAGACCTGTGTCAATTGACAGAGACTTCAGTAAATCTTCCACCTAGTCATCCATAAAGGGATCTGCAACTGCTTCCAGGATCAGAATATACAGAGGGTTAGGGTTAGGATTAGTTAAGGATATATATTTTTGGAGGATTATGGAACACTGGTTTGGAGCTATTTGCTGTGAGTTCAAAATGCTGCTTGTAATATACCCTTCACAGTGGAGGCTTATGGAATTCAGACAGTAAGTGAAGTTTTGGCCCAAGTTTATCTTATAGTAAGTGAGTCCATGAAGCTATTCTATGTTTGTTTTATCTGTTCCTCTATGTATAAAATACACTTTTTTCAACATCTGATAAAATTCCTGTCCATTTCTCTGACATATGGATTAGCATGTCAGTACATGAGAGAAAGTATGAAGTAGAAGTCCCTTAGGTTCCCATTAGTTAACAAAATAGCAAACAAAAACAATACTTAATCTTGAGGACATCAGGTGACAGTACCTTGTCAAATATTTGGTGGAACTTAGAGAAGAGCTGTGTTATCACATGTTTAATCAGGCTGTGAATTCAGTTGTAGCTGCTGTTGCATTGAAGACTCCAGTATATGATAAATAGCTATTAATATGGTGACTGTATCTTTCCCATACCAATAAGCCTAAAATAATTCTAATTATAATCCCAAAATAATACTATGAATTTTAACTCATTTAACTTTTAGGCAGGGATATCCTTATACTTTCATCATATTGCTTCAGGGCTATATCAGTTCTCTGGCTCTATTAGTTAAGACTGAGGGACTTTGATAATCCTGCCATCCCAGAAGACATCATGGTGAAAGAACCTGATGAACAAGAAAGGGCAACTTTGACCCTTTCTGCTCAAAATACTGGCCTTAGACCAGCAGCAACAACAGCAGCATCGCCTGGAAATGTTTAAGAAATGTGGGATTGTAGAATCCCAACGGCTACTGAATCAGTCTTAATTTTAACAAGATCTCAACTGATCTGTATGCACATCAAAGTTTTGGAAACACAACCCTACGTCGGGCACGGTGGCTCATGCCTGTAATCCCAACACTTTGAGGCTGGGAGTTTGAGACTAGCCTGGGCAACATAGTAAAACCCTGTCTCTGCAAAAAAAGACAAAATTAAAACTTAGCCAGTCATGGTGGCACATGTCTGTCGTCCCAGCTACTTGTTAAGGCTGCAGCAGGAGAATGGCTTGAGCCAAGGAGTTTGAGGCTGCAATGAGCTCTGATCATGCCACTGCCCTCCAGCCTGGGAGTCAGAGTGGGACTCTTTCTAAAAATAAAAAAATAAATAACCTCCCCCCACCCCAACACACACAAGCCTAGGTACTTTGGAAGATGACTGTATATCTGGGTATTCACTTTTCTGGAAGGAAAATTGGACTAAAGTACAAATCTATACGAATTAATGAGCAATAGCTAATGATTTAGATGCATTATAAGGAAGATTTATGGCAACAGCGGGATCTGCAGATTGGTGACAAGGCGGTCTAGTGAAAAGTTTCGTGGATGAACCTCTTTGGATGGATCTAGGACATGTGATATTTGTCTCCCTTGTGGAATTCCCATTGCAGAAGAACTCTCAATAATCAGATGAAAGATCAATGTACTTGCCCAAGTTTACACAGTTCCAGCATTAGGGAAATGTAATTCAAGCCCAGCCAGTTTGGCTCTGGAGTCAACAGTAGGCGTGCTAATGCAGTGTCCTCACAACCTACCTATAAGAAATTTAGTAGAGAAGTCTACTACTCATGATGCAGATTCCTCAGTAAAGAACATGGTGGGGAGGAGCTGTCTCTAAGAGAGGGTAAGGGGACAGTCCCTCTAGCTATGTGTAAGTTGAAGACTGGGAGTGGGGCTGAAAACATGGTTAGAAGACAAAATTTAGATACATAACTAGAGAATGTTTGGCCAAACCACAGTTCACATGTGCTGCCCTACCACCAAATGCAGTTTTTAAACTCTAGATGATATAATGCTTAAACATCAGAGACAGACGAGGGTCTAGCTGGAGAAGTCAAGCTCATATCTGTGGAAGTCAGTGCTGGGCAAAAAGGAACTTGAATTCCCAATTAGTTTTTTGCAGCCCTCCCAGTGCTGGGTTCTACTGTACTGTTCCGGGAGTTTGGTTAAATAATTCATTGCTGTTTTAACATTTTGGAGTCTAGCCCTAGGACGCATTAAAGATTTAACTATAAAACTCCCACAAAACTAGAAGAGTATACTGGAAAATACTTAAGGGATTTCAGAATTGACAAGAAATTTAAAATCATAAAAGCGATGAAACAAGTAGTAAGATATTTGACTGCATACATCTCATATTTCTGAGCATAAAAATTAAACTTCAAAAGAAAATGAAAACTTTGTTTTAAAAAGAAGTGTTAATCATAACTGTAACAGTCAAAATGTGCTTAAGAATAATAATCTCATATAATCAATAAGAAAACCATGATTCTTTATAGGAAAACAAAGGGGCTAAATTGACAATGAAATGGTTCACCACAGAGGACCAAAAAATGCATTTGAAAATAATCCCATTCATAACAAAGAAACATGATTAAAACATTGACATTTTATTTTTAATTTATTAATCCAAGATAAAAAATAATTCTCAATGCTGGTCAGGTTGTGGTAAAACAGGCACTCTTATTTGTGGTTGGCAGAATTGTAAATTGATTCAACTTTTCTAGAAAGTAGCTTGCCAATGTGCCTCAAAGGTCTAAACCTAGTTATTTGACCTAGTTATTGCATTTCTAGGAGTGTATTTTAGTCAGGGTTCTCCAGAGACACAACCAGTAAGATAGAGAGATAGATAGATAGATAGACAGATAGATAGATAAATGTAGTGTAAACCAAAAAGTGTCTGAGACAGGTCTCAATCAATTTAGAAGTTCATTTTGCCAAGGTTTAAGGACATGCCTGGATAAAGGAACACAGAAATCACAGAAACAATCTGTGGTGTTTGCCTTTCTCCAGTGATAATTTTGAGGGCTTCATTATTTAAAAGGAGAAAAGAAGGCTGGAGGGGAAAGAGGGAGGTAGGTGATGGTCATATTACTGAATCCACATGTTACAAGAGAAAATGAGCAAGTACGGAAAGATTCAATTATGTATTCATCTCGTGGTCAGTAAACCAGCACTTCACATAAGATAAGGTGAAGATAGAGTAGTACCTGTGGAGGTATCTGGCCTTTTATCTGCAGGTTTTATCTGTAGCTTAGGAACAAGAGAATTCCCGATTAGCAGTTTCTTGCATGACTCAGCTTTCGGCTTAATTTTTTTTCTTTTAGCATAGTGAATCGGGGTCCCTAGATTTTATTTTCCTTTCACGAGAGAGAGAGAGAGAGAGAGAGAGAGAGACAGAGACAGAGAGAGGAGAAACTATTTATTAGGGAAATTGGCTCATTTGATTATGGAGCCTGAGAAGTCCCGTGATAAGCTGTCTGCAAGCTGGAGAACCAGGGAAGCCAGTGCATGTCTTACTCTAAGTCCAAACGCCTCAGAACCAGGGAAGCCATTGGTATAACTGTCAGTCTGAGGCCCAAGGTCTGAGAGCCCTTGGGGGCCACTAATGTGAGTCCCAGAGTGTAAAACCCAAAGAAGAACCTGGAGTTCTAATATCAAAAGACAGGAGAAGAAGAGTGTCCCGACTCTAGAGAGCGAGAATTCTCCCTTCCTCCACCTTTTTGTTCCATCCAGGACCCCAGCTGACTGGATGGTGCCCACCCACGTTGTGGGCAAATCTTCCCCAGCTCAGTCCACTGACTCACATACCAATCTCCTCCAGAAATCTCCTCCAGAAATGCCTTCAGAGACACACCTGCGACAGGCTTAATGTTCTAATCAAATGCCAAACCACCTGGTTTCCCCTTTCAGCAGAGGGGGATGGGCTCAGTGCCTACTGAAGCGTTGAGGATACTTAATGCAAGAATTGACAATTAGTGCTACTTTACCAACTCTCTGGGTATCCCTTAATTCAGTCAAGTTGACACCTAAAATTAACCATCACTCTGTCCCAAGAAAATAATCACAAATGTGGACAACTATTTGTGTATAAGGTAATATGCTACAGAATTTTTACTGGGAAAATTATAAACAAATAGTAAACCATAGGAAAATATTTAGTAAATTATAGTTTGGCCATATGATGAAAAAAAATGAGGCCATTTCAAAACTTACATTTTTAAATAATATCAGCATAGTTTGAATACCCTCACAAAACAAAAAAACAGTAAGTAATCTGTACATACACAATTTTGATTATGTAATGTATATATTTATATATAAAAATTGCATGGAACTACATTTAAAAGTTAGCCTTGTTTTATATCTGGCTGGTGGGGTGCTGTGGATAATTTAATTTTTCTTCTTTAAATTTCTCATATTTTTAAATATAATAAACACATTGCTATTATTACCAGTAAATAATATGAAATTTTAAATTATATGCGTTGTTATGATGTTGTCTATTCTTACCTTTCCAATATTTTAAAGAAGTGTGGCAAATAACTATGTAATGAATAAATATGAAAAAATGCTTTGTACTGCCTCTAGAGAGATTAGTTGTGATTTATCTGTTTTTGAAACTTTTTTATGTAGTCAACTATTTTGGCCTATCCAATCTTTTCATTATTTGGCATTTATTTAAAATATATATAGCAGCTTCTTTCCCAAAATAATTTAAAGCAGTTTATAATACAGAACATGTGCAATATATTATAAAAAGTAAATTAAAAATCGGGGCTAAGAAAAAAGGAAGACGTAAATAAACTATTGATATGCATTGCCATAATTTTATGGGATTGAGCATTAGACTTGACTCATATGTCTGTGGCTAGTACAAAAGAAAAAACATTGAAAGTGTCACAGGTATTTTACTATCAGGAAGGAAATAATATGCTTGGGGAAAGGGCTAGGAGTGGGTTGGGAAAGGTTATTAAAATGGGTTATTAAAATGTTAGGGGGATGGGACATGCGTAGTTTGAACTCCTCCTTCCAAAGGTAATTATAGTTGAAACATCTCAACATTCTTTCATGATTAATGTCTTACTTCTAGAAAAAGGATTTGGGAGACAACTCTCCATGGGTCTCTCATGTTTCTGCATGTCCTCCAAACAGAGACACTCCTTACCTTTATCTTCACAAGGATGTTCGTATAGCAAACAGCCTTAGATAATAGAGTGTCTTCCACTGAAGCAGCAAGCCGGTTTGCTTCCTGTCCAGCATGTTAAAGATAATTTCCTTCTCTGGAGCAAAGGTCACACAGGTTTGCTTACTGCCTATTATAAAAGATCAGAGTTCTCTAAACTTAAGCTTCTTCAGCTGTGATTCTCTGTATGTGCAGCATCCACTTGGGCCTGTTTTGTTACCCCTGTGGGACTTGAGAGGCAAGAAGAATGGCGACGAACGTGATACTCCTGCTGTTTGCCGTGCCTTGAGGAATAAAGTTCTGAGTACTGACCCAGGGCTCATGTCTTCTGCCAGCATCGATGAGGCTGTGGCAGGCCAACTCATTAGCCTGAATATAGAGTAACAGTGCAGACTCTCCATAGTTTTTGACAATGGTTTGGAGAAGGAGGCTATTCTTGAAGCCCAAATGTCTTACAGGGACTGCTTAGACAAAGCTGTATCTTTGGATAAATGTATCAACAGACCGAAGTGAAAGTAAGAGATAGGAGAAAAATCATTGATAGCTAGTGATAGCTAAAAATGGATTTATTTTAAGGAATAGCATGTTTATATAAATTTATCAAATAGATTAGCAAGACAGGTAATAATAAACCCTACTAATTCCCAAGAAAATTTACTATTAGATAGTGAATTTACTACCAGAGAGTTAATTGCTAAAGCAATGACACAACAATATAATTATTTTTAAATATCTTATTTGTGCCAAAGAAATCAGGCTAAAAACATGTCTTCTTTTTGCATAACATTTGAACACAATGCCACCAATGCAAGGTATGGTTAAGTCTTCACACTTCAAAGAAATGACGTTTCAGCAACACTTAGGGAAAGTAAGCTAAAATCTGCGGGGCATTCCAGTTGCCAAGGACACTTGTAATCATTTCCCTAATTGTCCTTGACAATCTTATCATTAAAGATGTGGGACATTAATTAATGATGGAACATCTATTCCCGGGAAAACAGGCCTTGGAGGCACAATAGAGAGCTTATTCTCCGTACATTCTTTGTGAACGCTGTTTCTACATTGTGGGTCATCCATGTTGCAAGTGTTGCCTGGATGGCATGTAAATATTTGGAGCACTCGATTGTATGAGAATTGGATTGAATAAAATCAATGCTGATAATGCTGAAAATATGTTCAAAACCAATGTTCCCTAAAGAACCTTTTATGCCTAGATTAGTATCAGTGTTTAATTGACAGCCTCTTCACTTGGTTAATTACTTGGTCTATTGTGGCAGGGAGAGGGAGAAAAGGACAAAAGCATTTGTGTTATGAATAGCTGACAATAAGGGAATCAAAAAGGAGAAAGCCAAAACCCTGCTACAGAATAACATCTTACATAAAGTCTTCCTTGTACACCATATGATTTTTTGAATGATCATTCTTAGAAAAATGGAAATTGTTGAAACAGAACCTGTCTTTCAAAACACTAGTTCAAACCTTTGTGTTTTTAAGCTACCATGGAGGACAAATTCTGAGGTGAACTTTTTGCCTTCATTTATCTTTTGCTGTAAATAAAAGGGTACAGAAACTGAGATATGAAATGAAAACACATGTTGAGGATTTATTCTTTGTACCTTTGAACTACAGTATAAATTAAACCTTTTACACAAACGGAAACAAATTGGAATATTATGAAATCACATGTACACATGTATTTTTTTAATATTCCCTTTATGTTTATAGAAATTGCATACATATTTAAAAGTCTAAAATCAATGAATTTCTTTTATTTTTATTTCTTGTAAAAAAACAAGATACATGTGCAGAACGTGCAGCTTTATTACACATGTATTCTTTACACCTTGGATTTATAACATTATAATTTATAACAACTATTCCTTTTCTAGATTTTTCTGGAAGAATGTTAAGAAAATTCCTATTTACTATGGAAAATCACAAAGGTGTTCAAACATATTGAAAATGTAAATGAATTCAGAAAAGAAGATCATCTTAGTTGATCTCCTCTTCTGGCACATCCTCATCAGTCTCACCTCTGGACATTGTTGTTCTCAAGGCTCCATTCAATGCTCAACCCTTGATCTTCTGCTCTTTTCCTTCTGCGTGTGTTTCTTTGGTGATCTCATTTGGCCTCATGGCTTTAAATATCATCCATATGTTGATGATTCTTGTGTTTGCATTTTCAGCCTGCACCCCTTCCCTGAACTCTGCTTGGATGTCCAGTGGGCATCTTAAACTTGACATGTGCAAAACTAGAGCCATCTTGGTTCCTTGAAGGTCTGCTTCTCCCACAGTCTTACATTTTATCTCTGTTACCCTCCAGCTACATCTACTCCTTCATCTAAAATAGATCCCAGAAGCATTGTGTGTTTGTGTGTGTGTGTTTAATCTCTCACCACTACTATTGTTACATGCTTATCATTTCTTACCTATATATTACTATTATCACCTAACTGGGCCTCCTTTCCCATTCTCTTCTCCTCTTTCATACCACTTTTAGTTACCTTTCCTTAAACCCAAGCAGTTTACACTATGCTACCTCATTTATTCCTCACCAAAATGTTATGGCACAGGCTTGATTACAACCATTCTATACATAAAGAACCTAAAAATCAAAGAGGTGCTTTAAAGTCTTGACTTTAGGCCCAGTCTTTCTGATCCCTAAGCCTGTATTCTTTCTATTAAACCTCAATATGTATTATATTCAGGGCATTAATCACCTGCTAATGAAATGAAAACATTAGTCAAACCAGTTGTTTTCTGTCAACTAAGAGATTGATAAACTGAGTGTCTTCATTTCCAAACATTGGTTTTGTTACAGACAAAACCTGAATGCAGACTTTCATTGGTTTTGTTAGAGACAAAAATCTGAGTCCAGACTTGCTGCATGGCAGCTGGCAGCCAAGCAAGTCACTGTCCTTTGCAGGAAGAGCAGCAAGAACTTTGGAGAGTGAGCCAAGGAAAAGCAGAGGGAAAGTTCATGACTTGGCTCTACCAGTACAAACTTGATCTGTGCCACAGAAACTCAATCAAATGAATTTATGAGTTTTTTTTTAAAGATCACAATTAGTGCCAAAAATCAAAGCCAAGGAGTCATGCCATGTTGACTGATGTGAGGGACACTCCAGAACTAAAATGATCAGGCAAGTTCTACAGTTTTATCCCAATTTGCATCACAGTTAGATTCTTTCTATTTGTTTAGGCAAAACATAGATGTTTATCTTTTGTTTCAGTTTGGAGGATGAATGTCTCTGATAAGTTATCTAATACGGCCTCTTTAATTTAGGGCTAGATTTGCATTGACATCTGAATAAATGAGTATCTTCTGTATGTTTAATGGTTTCCTAGGCCACAATTACCCTGATTGTCATATTCCATTTGAATCATGGGAATCATCACATTGATCATGTCCTGACTTTTGTACATAAATATGATGCTACCAGCCCACTAGAGTTGGAATTAGATAACATTTACTGATAACTTATTACATGCCAAATAGACACTACTGTTCCCAGTTTACACATAAGAAAATCGAGACTCATATGGGTTAAATAACTAGCTAAAATTGTGCCACTAGTTAGTTGCAAACATTTCTTCTGGGCTCTATATTAGCAACCTAGTGTTTTCTTTCTCTGTGATTATTAAAATGAACCTAGCAAAGGAATAGTCAACAGCTTGATGTTTGATAATGACTTTTTAAAATATAGAAATATAATAATTTCACCTCTGTGAACACAGGTTTTAATACACAGTTGACACCATATCACAATGCTACTTCTGTGGAATTATGGCCATGACTGTATCCATAGAGAAAATATTCAGATTAAATAATAATCAAGACAATATGCTTTCTTTATGTATCCCAATTTGGATCATTCTTTTTAATCCCTAAAAATCATTTTATTATTACTAAGAGTGGCATTTCATGGCCATTTTGCTTAAAGTCCAGCTTAAGAGTTTGAGCTACAAACCACTTTAATTATAGAGATATAGAAGAATATTACATGACCAGCCAATTCTCTAAAGAACACATTGGTACCATAAGATAGCCTCTTAAAGCCAGTAGATGCAAACAAAAATGTTCGTCTAGTTTGTTTTTATCACCTGTGTAGTACACCATAATTTGATGCTAGGATATACTCAAATTTAAGATTTACTATGCCAACATTGCAGCGAGATTCCCTAGATATTTATCACAATGAGAGAAACGCCTGTAATGTCTGTCCCAGAAATTCACACACAGAATTACAGTAACCTGCTGCTCATTAGAGGTTAAGAGGCACATACTTGTGGAATTCAATGCCTCAGTGATAGTCAAGGCCATAATTTGATAGACATGATTGTGCTCCTTCTGGAGGCACAGGTCTCTACTTCAAAGCATGCAAAATGAGAGGGTAAAAATAAGAGAAAAGAATATTTAGAGAAGAAATGAAATGAAAAATTCATTGATAATGTTTGGCAGGTGGCAAAATCAATCACATACCTATTTTATAATTATTTCAAGTTACAAATGAAGTATTCTAATTCATGTCTGGCTAATTTGACCATAATTGTCTTGTCTATATTATGTATTTTAGGTCTTAGTTACTTAAAGTCTACAATATTCTTTCATTCCTATATTTTCACACAACAATTAAACAGATAACAATTAAATAAAATTCTAAACTTTAAATCTAGAATTCTCATCCCCTATTCACTTCTGAATCCACATGTATAAGCTTATTTTTTATCTAAGGAACTGAAAACTGCTCATGTCAAGGTCATCAATGTTCTTCATGTTGCCAAATCCAACTGACATCTCTCTGCCCTCTTAGTTGATTTATTAATAGCATTCAACACAGCTGACTATTTCCTCTTTTCTTAAGCACTTACCTTTCTTACCATCTATGAAACCACGTTTCTGATGCTAGAAATGTTGTATAACAAGATAGTTTAGACTTTGGTGCCTTTCATAGTCTATGTGTGCTGCTGTAAGAAAATATTTGAGACTGTTTAGTTTATTTTAAAAAACCAAAAATTTAATTTTCATAGTTCTGGAGGCTGAGAAGTTTTAAATTAAGACTGGCAGGTTCATTATCGAGTGAGGGTTCCCTTAAGTGAGGTTCCCTCACCTCCTACCACTTTCTATCTCTTCCTAGTTTCATCATTATTCTCTATATTCTGGCTACACTGTTCTTTCTATCCTTCAAATACACATTTTCCATTTCCATTTTAAGACTTTTGTGTTTGCTAATTCCTCTTCTTGGAATTCTCTTTCCTCCATTTTTATTGGTCGTACTTTCTTGTCATTCAGGCCTCAGATCAAGTGTCACCTCCTCAGTGACTCCTAACCTGAATTAGCATCCTTCCCTCTGCTTCCAAGGTGGTTCCCTGAATGCAGAGTCCTCTGGAGGGGAAGAACACTATATCCTCCTATGGCAGAAGGCAAAAGGGCAAGAAGGGACAAAAGCCCTCCATCAAGTCCTTTTATAAGGGTACCTAATCCCGTACACCAGGGAGGAGCACTCATAGTCTAATCGCCACTTAAAGTCCCTACCTCCTAATGCTATCTCATTGGGAACATCTGAATTTAGGAGGGGACACATTGAAGCAATAGTGCCAGACTGCCTGGATTTGAATCCCAACTTATACATTTACTAATTTTGTAACCTTGGAAAAATTGGCTTTAATTGAGCTATGACTCACTTTCCTTGTATGTAAAATGGGATGATAATAGTAACCCTACCTCATAAAGTTTTTATAAGGATTAAATGAGTTAATATTTACAAAGAATTTAGAAAAATGCTTGGCATGGAGTAATCACTATAAAAAGCATTAGATATTATTATTAGCTGTTCCTGACTCCTAGTCTTCTGTGCTGACTCAACCCAGTCTATAAATGTTGGCATTACCTGATGTTGGTTCTCTACCCATGCCCTCTTCCAGTCCCAAGGCTTCAAGTTTCATTTATTTGTTGGTGACTCCCAAATAATATGTCATCTCTCCTGTGGACTCTAGATTCCCATATGGAACTGCTTAACTCAAAATAGTCCAAACTATAAGCATAGGTAATAGTTCATACAACAAGAAGTTCTGATATGGTTATAAGTTGGTTTATTTAGCAGCTGAAAGACATCACATCCCTAGGGTCTTTCTATTTTTCACTTTTTCATCTTTAGCATATCAGCTAATATTCCTGGTTGCAAGATGGCCACAACAGTTGTAGCAATCACATTTAGACCCAAGAGTGTCTAGTGTAGGCTTTCTTAACCTTAGAAATATTGATATTTGGGGTTGGATAACTCCTTGCCTTGCTATGTGGGCTGTCCTATGCATTGTAAAATGGTTAGCAGTAATCCTAGCCTGTACTTAGTAGATACCAGTAACATACTCCCAGATGTGACAAACAAAAACATCTCCAAATACTGCCAAATATCTCCTGGGGTACAAATTTGTCCCCAGTTGATAATCATTGGTCTAATGAAAGAGCAGAGGCCACCTCCTTCTGTGGGTCTCTTTTCATAAATAAGGGAATCTTTCCTTAAAAAACTGCCTCTCAGGTCTCATTTTCCAGGTCTCTGTCGCTCACCTTTTTCAAAACCAGTCACTAGCCAGATACATAGGGATTACCATGATTGGTTTAGAGTAATTAGCATTTGTTCAGGGGTAGGATTAAATGCAGAACAGAATTGGCTAGGCCTACAAGGGAGAACAGAGACCAGTATTGGTAGGAATAAGCAGTAGCTGGTGCATGTCTCACTCACGTTGTCTTTACACTGAGAATACAAGTCCATGCCTTTCTCTCCTATCTCCTCCTACTTTCATCATCATTCTCTAAATTTGGACCACGCTGTTCTTTCTATCCCTCATTTTCTTTTAAGACTTTTGTGTTTGCTAGTTCCTCTTCTTGGAATTCTCTTTCCCCAATTTTTTATTGGTGATACTTTCTTATCATTCAGGTCTCAGATCAAGTGTCACCTTCTCGGTAACTCCTAAGGTTAATTACCATCCTTCCCTCTATTCACTCTCTATTACAGCATCTGACTTGTTTTCTACGTGGCATTTGCTGCTTTCTGATATTTGCTTGTTCAGTTTGGCTGTCCCCAACAAAATGTAAACTGTCAGAAGCAGAAAGCTTGTCTTTCTTGTCTTTCATTGTATCCCAAGCACCTATAACAGTGCCTGGATATCATAAGCACTCGATAAATACCTATTATATGAATAAATAAATGAATGAATAACCTGAGAAATGTGTTCTGAAGCATAGGAGAGGAATCACCTGAGAAACTCCCAGGAATAGTTGGGAGACAATTTAATGTTATAACTTCCTATACTCAGAGTGAAATAAATTTGGGAATATAAAAAATACATAACCTGATCTCCACTCTGGGCCAAGATAGAGTAACAGGGACTGGACTTAACTTCCTACCTTAAGCCACTAGAAAGCAGATAAAATATAGAAAACAATTGTTTTCAGACACTGGACAGCAGGAAGTAGAGGGCAGCAATTCTTGAGAGATGAGAAACAAACTAGATATCCTACAATAATCCAACTTAATGCCTGGAGAGTTTTCAGGCCACCTTGTGGAGGAACCCAGGCAAGTTCTGATAGTTTTCCAGAGTCAAACAGATACAGCTGGGAGCTCAAGGATACCAAGGTAGTTAGAGTTTGCAGGACAAAATACTGGAGAGGAGACAGCTGCCCAGAGAGGGACCCCAGGAGTTGAGTAGAACATCTTACCTCCACACTACGGATGCCTGGGTACTGATTAGCACATGCTTGAAAGGAAATTACCTGAAGCTTGGAGGAAAAAACCCCAAAGGAGCAGGCGGAACAACCCTAAGAGCTCTCACTGGGAATAGCATATGCTACAATAGACAGAGAGCAGAAACCATGTAATGTATGTAATATTGGGTAGAGTACTCTGAACGGCATTGTCTCAGTAATATAGAAAAATTAGCTTGAGTCTACAGGCTGCTCTAATTCTGTTTAACAAGGCTTAAAAGCAAAGCTTAAAAAGGACAAATGGTTTCCAGGTCACCTAACTGCGTATCAGAATTGGAATGAAATATATTTAAAGGAATACAAAATATAAAAATATCCAACATTTAACAAGATGAAATTCACACCTAGTATCCAATATAAAATATCAGCATGCAAAGAAATAGGAAATAAGACCCATAAATTAAGAAAAGCCAATCAATAAATAAATCCAGAAAGGTCACACATGGTAGAATTAGTAAATAAGGACACCAGAATGGTTAGCATTAACATAGTTCAGATATTCAAGAAGGAAGAGGAAAGCATGAGCATGTTAAGGAGAGCATGAAAGGTTTTTTTTTTTAAAGACAAATTTGAACTTCTAAAATGGAAACTACAGTAGCTGAAATGAAAAATACACTGGATTAAATGAATAGCAGATTAGACACAGCAGAAGATTAATAAATTTAAAAACAGAAAAAAGAATGAATAAAAGGGGGGAAAAATTCCCTACAGCTTCAGTGAGCTTTGGGGAAACTTCCAACAGCCTCATACACATATGTAATCAACATGCCCAAAATGTTAGGGAGAGGCACAGAAAAAAAAAGTTTTGAACAAATAGTACATAAAAGTTTCCAGAGTTCACAATAAAAGCAATAAACTCACAGATTCAAGAATCTCAATAAAGTGTAAGCACAAGAAACCTGAAAGAGTTAGACCAAAGTACATAACAATGAACTTGCATAACACCAGGGAAAAGGCGGCAATCTTAAAATCAGCCAGAGGAACACAAAGACACATTGTACTTGGAAGAACCAAAATAAGACGACAGCAGACTTCTGGTCAGAAATAATGCAAACTAGAAAACAGTGTAGCAACCTTTTTTATAGAATCTTTTAAAAAATCATGTTATAATTCATATACCATAAAATTCACCTTTTAAAATTGTACAGTTCAATAATTTTTAGTATATTCACAATCTGTGCAACTATAACCACTATTTAATTCCAGAACACTTTATCCCCAAAAGAAGCCCTGTTCCTATTAGCAGTCAGTCCTCATTTCCCAACCCTGGCCCTGGCAACTACTAATCTTCCTTTCTCTATGGATTCACCTATTTTTAAAATGTCATATGAATGAAATCATGCAATATGTTATCTTTTATGTCTGGCTTCTTTCACTCGCCATAATGTTTCCATGGTTCATGTATTTTATAGCCTGTATTAGTACTTTATTCCTTCTTATGGCTAAATATTTCATTATATTGATATGCTACATTTTGTTTATTCATTCATCAGTTGACAGATATTTGACTTGTTTCCACTTTTTGGCTATTATGAATAATTATATCTGTGCACAACTTTTTGTGTGGTGTAGTATATATTTTAATTTCTCTTGGGTAAAGAACTAAGAGTATAATTTCTTGGCCATAATAGTAACTCTGTTTAAACTTTTGAGAAATTTCCAAACTGTTTCTCACAGAAGCTACATAATTTTGCATCCCCACCAGCAATATATGAAGGTTCCAGTTTCTCCACATCGTCATCAACATTTGTTATTGTTCATCTTACTGATTATAGCCCTCCTAATCTATAGAAAACAATACTTTGTTGTGGTTTTGAGTTGCATTTCCCTAATGACAGATGATTTTGATAATTTTTTCCTGTGTATATTGGCCTCTTGAATATCTTCTTTGGAGACATGTCTATTCAAATACTTTGCACATTTTAACATTGGATTGTCTTTCTGTTGTTGAGTTTTGAAAGTTCTGTGTATATTCTGGATACAAGTTCTTTCTCAGATGTATTATTTGCAAACATTTTCTCCCATTTTATAGTTTGTGTATGGACTTTCATATTATCTTTTGGAGCACCAAAGTTTTTTAATTAATTTAAACTTGATATATTTTAAGTTTAATGTATGTATTTTTTCCTTTGTCACTCATGGCTTTTGGTCATTTCTAAGAAAACATTGCCGTATACATGATAATGGTCATTTACAACTATGTTTTCATCTAAGACTTGTACAGCTTTAGTTATTACATTTAAGTCTGACCCAGTTTTAAAGTAAGATTTCTAATTTCATTTAATTGTGGTCATAGAACATACTTTGAATTATTTCAGTCCTTTTAAATTTACTGAGGCTGTTTTATGGACTAACATATGTTCTATTTTAGAGAACATTGCATGTACACTTGAGAAGCATAAATATTCTACTATTGTTGGTTGAAGTGTTATATAGATGTATGTTATATAGATGTATGTAGGTCTAGTTGGTTTATAGTTGTAATCAAATCTTTTAATTCTTTGTTGATCTTCTGTCTAGTTGTGCTATTGATTATTGAAACTAGAGTAATGAAGTACCTAACAATTGTCATTGAATTGTTTCTCTTTTCAATTCTGTCTGCTTTTTTGCTTCCTTTTCCAAGCCCTAGTGTTAGGTGCATATTTGTTAATAACTGTTATGCTTCCTTGATGGATTGACCCTTTTATCATTACAAAATGTCTTTCTTTTTCTTTAGTAACAATTCCTAAAGTCTGTTTTGTCTGGTATTAGTATAGCTGCTACAGCTCTTTGGCTAAATTGTTTGCCCTAACTATTATCACCACTTGAGATAGCTACAATATTCAACAGTTGTTGCTAGTTGCTTCTGACAAGTAGCCCATGGAAAAATATGTTCACACTGAAGGATCTTAAAGTCAGATAAAATAAAAACATGTTCTGTGAGTGGAAGTATTCAGGGAACTATCAGATAATGACAATCCTGTGGCAATAGGGCAGCTTTTTAGAACTCCAAACTCATTCCATCCCCTACAGTGGCTAATAAATTGCTGGTTTTCATGGTTACCATGATTACATTGCTGGTGATTTTCAAGGCTTCCAAAGAACTTATTAGAGGAGGATGAGGATGTGGCAAATTAAATTACCACAAAGCTTGCAGTTTTCCCAGATATTCAGTCTTATTCCTTGAATAAGCACTCCTCAGATTAATGCAAGTTTTTGGTTAATTTTCAGTGTTCTGAAATTTTTATTCTTATATTTCTTATGCTAGTGATATCATTGATTTTATGAAAGAGTGGGTTTCAGGGGTCTTTACTATCTCATTCTAGAAGTACTCTTCTGGAGCAGTTTTCTACAGAATTGAAACAAACAAAAAAAATTGTCAGCCTAGAATTCCTCACCCAGTGAAAATATTTTTCAGAATTGAAGGTAAAATAAGACTATATGACCTATGTATTAGTCTGTTTTCATGCTGCTGATAAAGACATACTCAAGACTGGGAAATTTACAAAAGAAAGAGATTTAATGGATTCACAGTTTCACATGGCTTGGGAGGCCTCATGATCACAGCAGAAGGTGAAAGACATGCCTCACATGGTGGTACACAAGAGAAGAGAGTTTATGCAGGGAAATCCCCTTTATAAAACCATCAGATTTTATGAGACTTATTCACTATCACCAGAACAGCTTGGGAAAGACCTGACCCCATGATTCAATTAAATCCCATGGGGTTGGTCCCTCCCACAACATGTGGGAATTCAAGATGAAATTTGGGTGGGGAAATAGCCAAACCATATCAACCTACAAAAGCTGAGAGAGAAATCATCAGCAGATATGCATTACAAAAAATATTAAAATATTTTAAGAAGAAGAAAATTCATAATAAAGGGACTCTTACATCTATGTAAATGAATGAAGAGCACGAGAAAAAGGTAACTACGTGGGTAAAAAGAGAGACTTTTTTCTTAATTTTCTTTAAAAGGTGATGAATGTTTACAATAAAAAATAAATAACAATATATATGGAGTTTAGTATATACAAAGAAATAAAATGTATGACAAAAGTACCACAAAGGTTGAGTGGAAAGAAACAACAGTACACTGTTGTAAGGTTCTTATGCCATATACGAACAGGTATAATATTGAAGAAAGACTGTGATAAGTTAAATATGTATACTATACACCCCCAAAATTGCTACTAAAATAGCATGACAAAGACTCATAACTAATAATCTAAAAAGGGGAGATAAAATGGAATCACAAAAATAATGAATTTATACAAAAGAGGCATAAAAGGAAGGAAAAACAAAAATGATATAAACAGAAAACAGCAAGATTGTAGAGTTAAACCCTACTATAACAATAATCGCATTAAATGTAAATGATCCAAACACTCCAGTTAAATGGCAAAGATTTTTTTATGTGCTGGCAATTTTATTTATTTATTTTTCATTTTTTAGATGTGATTGACATGTATTTTTTATAACTTTTAGTGTCAGGGGTACATGTGCAAGGTTTGTTGCATAGGTAACGTGTGTTGTGAGTTTTGGTGTACAGGTAACGGGCATAGTATCTGAAAGGTAGTTTTTTGATCTTGCCCCTTCTCCCATTCTCCACCCTCAAATAGACCCTAGTATCTGTGGTTCTCTTCTTTGTGTCCATGTGTACAATGTTAAGCTCTCACTTATAGTGAGAACATGCAGATTTGGTTTTCTGCCCCGGTGTTAGTTAGCTTAGGATAATGGCCTCCAGTTCCATCTTTGTTGCTGCAAAGAATATGATATCATTCTTTTTATGGCTGAATAGTATTCCATCATGTATATGTACCACATTTTCTTTATCCAGCCTACCACTGATGGGCACTTACATTGATTCCATGCTTTGCTTTTGTAAATATTAGATAAAAAAGCAAGTTCAACTATACATATTTATAAGAAATATAATTTAAAAATTAAGAGACAAATATATTAAAGTAAAAGGATGGAAGAAGATATACTATTCTAAAAAAAAAAAGAGCTGGAATGGCCCCATTAATATGAGATGAAGTAGATTTCTGAGCAAAAGAATGTTATCAGAGATAAAGGAAGTCATTTCATAAAGATTCAATAAAAGAACATAACAAATCTAATTGCTGATGTACTTTTGAACAGAGATTTAAAACACATAAAGCAAATACTGACATAACTGCAAGGAGAGGCAGATAAACCCACAATTGTTGAAGATTTAAGCAATTATCTCTCAATAATTAATATAATTGATATCACTATAAAGAATATAAAACCTGAACAACACTTTCAATCTACTTGACCTAATGAACATTTATAGAACAATCCACACAAAAATAGCAGGGCACAAAGCTTTTAAAAATGTTTACATGAAATTTATCAGGAGAGATCATATTTTATTGGGCCATAAAACCAGTCTCAATAAATTTAAAAGGAGTCAAGTCACACAAAGTATGTTTCCTAATTACAGTGAAAATAAATTTTAAAAATCAACAATAGAATTATATCTGGAAAAATCTTCAAATGCTTAGAGACTAAATAACATGCTTCTAGACAACCCAGATGTTTTTCAAAAAAAAAAGAGAGAAATTAAAAAGTATTTTGAATTTAATGAAAATAAAAACACAGCACATCAAAATTTGTGGGATACATTTAAGATAGTATTTAGAAGAAATTATAAAGTACTAAAAACCTGTATTAGTAAAAAGGAAAGGTCTTACATAAATGACCTCAGCTTTTATCTTAAGAAACAAGGCAAAGACGAGCAAATGAAGCCCTAAGAAAATTATATTTTACTCCCTTTGATTCTCATAAAATGCTTTGCTATCACATTATCATTATCAAGTTAATTTTACACAAGTTTGAAAAATCTGTCCTTTCTTTCTTTGAAAGCCCAAAACATTTTAATTTCTATACTCAAAAACATGACACATTGTTACATTGTTTTTCTTTCTATTATTTCTGTTTTCAAAGGCTATGTTGTAATTTTGTTGTTTAACATTGCTCATCTCATGATTTTCAGTTACTGTTTAAAACAAAAAATGTTTTAATAAGGCTTTTAAGCTCCACTTTATAATTTAGAAATGTTATTTAGGAATGTCCCTTTCAGACGGTAATTTTCTGGAGTGATTTTAAATAGAAAGTCTCATCCATTTCTGGTTGATATTTAATAATGAATATTTAATTTTATTTAATTATTTTTAACAGCTTTGGTGAGTTATAATTGACACTCAATAAGTTGCATATATTTAAAGTATACAATTTGATAGGCTTTGATATATGCATATATTCACGAAGCTACCATCAAAATCAAGATAATGAACATGTCTATTATCCCCAACATGTTCTTCACACCTTTGTAATTTCTTTCTCCTGCTCCTCCCTATCCCCTCATCCCCGTGCAACAATTGATTTGGTTTTTATTACAGTAGATTAGTCCATATTTTTAAGAATTTTATATAAATAAAATAACTATGATAAGTATTCTTTATTGCATGACTTCTTTCACTCAGTATAATTATTTCAAGATTTATTCATATTGTGTGTATGAAGAGTTCACTTTTTTGTGTGGAGAAGTATCCATTCACCTGTTGATGGACATTTGGGTAGTTTTTTGTTTTGTTTTGTTTTGTTTTTTGTTTTTTGTTTTTGAGATGGAGTCTCACCTTGTCGCCCAGACTGGAGTGCAGTGGCAAGATCTTGGTTCACTGCAACCTCCGCCTCCCAGGTTCAAGTGATTCTCCTGCCTCAGCCTCCTGAGTAGCTGGGACTACAGGCGCATGCCACCACACACAGGCGGATCACGAGGTCAGGAGTTCGAGACCAGCTTGGCTAACACGGTGAAACCCTGTCTCTACTAAAAATACAAAAACATTTGGGTAGTTTTTAATTTTTGGCAAATAAATTAGCAATTTTTAACAAATAAAACTGCTATAGATATTTGTGTCATACAAGCCTTCATATGGTCATAAGTTTTCATTTCTCTTGGATGAATACTTAGAAGTGGATAGGCTGGGGCATATAGTAGGTGATTGTTCAACTTTTTTAAAAATTGAGACTCTTTTCCAAACTGATTATATCATTTTGTATTCCCACCAGCAATGTATGAGGTTTCCAATTGTTTCACATTCTCTCCAATAATTCCTAGGTCATTCTTTTTAGTATTAGCCATTTTAATAGGTGTGCAGGACATCTCACTGTCATTTCAATTTGCATTTTCTTCAAATCTGTAGGTGTCTCTTGATGTATTGCAACTCTAAATAAAATATTATTTCAGCAGGAAATTTAAAGCCACATGATAAAAGATAAATATGGAGATTCCTTCAGTTGAATTAGGGGCTGGAAATAAAGTTTATGAGAAACAGTTATAATTAAGCCATAAAAACTTGGTAATGCTGCCTGGTTATCTAGTTCTTAAGGTATTAGAGATTGTCTTAGAGCTCTCTTATATTTCAGATTTTCTGATATGAAAAACCAGGATGAAGAAAAACTGGAAACTACCTCTCTGCAGACTCTGTTAACTGTAACTTTAGCATATTGAAAAGACATGTTGGGAAGCTTTTGTAAGTTGTCTGTGTGTATGAGGTTTTCTATGGCCATTCTATAGTCTGTGTATCACGGTTTGTCCTTGATATATTTAAGATACTGTCTAGGAGTGAAAAAGATCAGGAAGATCAGTCTAGGCTTTGTGAAATTTCCTTGAGCTTTATCATATGCCACTAAGTGGTATCTTATTAGTGGATATAAAGCTTTGCTGTTTCAAACAGGTAATACAATTAAGCCAATTCTTTTATTAAATTTGTATTCCTTCCAGTCTCTTAAAACTTTCCTTGAGGATGAACCTTTTCATAGTGATAAAATATTAAATACATGTTCACATATTTACCTTGCATGGTGATTTATAACCAATGAGGTTGTAAACATCCACTAAGCCTGCTCTATCATGAAGTTTTTTTCTTTATGTCTTACAGACTTCAACTGGTTTCATTTTTACTTTAATAATACATAGTTGAAATGTATAATTTTTGCATTTATTCTAGGCCAGACACTATGCTAAGCACTTTCAATGTATATCTGAGTCCTAAAAAATCCTCTGAATAGATTTTATTATTATTATTATTATTATTATTATTATTATTATATTATGGAGGTTAGTAGTACTGATATTAACAAATGTTAAAGAAAAAAATTACTTTCACTTTAAAGTGCCTTATCAGCAGATAATGTATGTATAACTCATTTATATATTCTGTAGCTCTTTTCAGTATTATTTTTTCCTATCCCAGCTTCCAGGAATTTACTTTTACATTCTACCTTGATAATCTCACCTTTAGGATTACATCTTGCTAATGTCCACTGGAAATAGAAGTCTTTCAGGTTCGGACTTGTGTCTGTATCTACCAGTATTTCTTTCTACTAATGTCACTATAATCTATTCAATTTAATTTTTTAAATCCCTCAATGTCATGGCTCCCCTGCATGCAAATGAGACACAATTTTACACGGTCTGTCCTCAATCTCTCTGCTACATTCTACTCCTAAATATGCTCATCCAATATCTTGAACTGATTATTTCTATTCTCATACATGGAAACATTTCTCTTTATCTTTCTTTGAAACTCTCCATGTCAGTTTCACCACCTCTGTTTTAATTAGATTTTATGGATCCCGAAGTTTATATAATTTAGGGAGAGGGGCTCTTAAGAGAGAAAGAATAGAAAATTATGAATATAAAATTAAACAAATATGCAACATGAAAAAAGCAATTCTAACCATTATAAGTTCTAAAAGCTGACACATATCACAAATACTATAAAAGCCAAGAAAAACAACATACAATTTTTAGTATGTTGCCTGATATAACTTAATATACCTTCTTTCCTACATTTTTGTCTGCATATTTTTATCACCTAATTATATTACAGTAATTCTAAAAATATTTTATAGACATGGTAGAAAGGTAATTCTCTCTTCTACCATGAATTATATAAATTTGTTTTTTAATGTCAATAATTGGGATGCATAAAATATGTGACTTAATGTACAGTCATATTCCTATTTGTAACTTGGCAAAAGGTTATGACCTAGTGATATAAAACTCCTGATAAATTATATTTTATAAAACTTTTGTCAAAAAGGAAAAAAATATGGGTTGGGTGTGGTGGCTCATGCCTGTAATCCCGGCACTTTGGAAGGCTGAGGTAGGAGGATTGCTTAAGGCCAGGAGTTTGAGACCAGCCTAGGCAGCATAGGCTAGTCTCAAACTGCTGGTCTCTACAAAAATTTAAAAAAATTCTTTGGGCATGGTGGCACTCGCTGTAGTCTCAGCTACTCAGGAGGCTGAGCGAGGAGAATTGCGTCATTTTGGAGGCTGAGGATGCAGTGAGCCATGATTACGCTACTACAATCCAGCCTGGGCAACAAGGCAAGACCCTGTCTCTCTCCTTGTTTTGAGACAGGGTCTCCCTGTGTTACCTAGGGTGGTCTCGAACCCCTGGCCTCAAGCAATCTTCCTGCCTTAGCCTCCCAAAGTGCTGGGATTAAGACATGAGCCACTGTGCCCAGTTCTTGTCTCTTAAAGAAAAAAAAAAAACAAAAACCATGTAGTGAATTGGAATTTGCAATGTTCTATACTGCATTACTGAGTACATTCTCAAGGGGAATAAATTCACTTTGATTAGGTGTTAGTGAGAACTGTCAACCTGGCTTCTAAATCTACACATGATATAAGAGAAAAACAATTTCACGGAACTAGATTTTAGCTCTAAACAATTCAAAACTTGTTTCACCTCTGCCACACATTCTTTGGGTACTAGCACAGTAAGACACTTAACATTGTCTCTGGAAGTAGGTGGTTTTGTCTGAGAGTTCCTCTGCTCCTGGCCTTTTCTGTCACAACACTAGGTGAATTGTAACTGTGGGCATGAGTATCCCTCTAACTTAACTACACTTAAAAAATTACTGAAAATCGCTAAACCAAAACTAAATATAGCCTCAATGTAACTTCCTTGTAGGCAGATTCAAAAAAGGATCCCAGCTACTTCAATACTACGACTTGAAGGTATTCATGAGCCAGACAAATTAAGAGTGGAAAAAGACAGTAGTCTTATCGATTGTTGTTAAAATGTCTTTCTTTTCTATTAATTTTACAAGAACAGAAGACACATGTACTCATTAGCAAGTCACTACCACGATCCTAACGAGTGACTGTGCAAGCAAGGGTCCCTGAAGTTTAAGTTTTTGAAGCTGTGGCAAATTTACCTCTGGTCCTAACCCAAGGACTTTTGGAATAATAACTGCCATTCACACAAAAAAAGCCATTCCATTGCAATTCTTAGTGTTCTTTTCTTCAAACCATCACACAAAACTCTTTTCTCTTACTCCCTCACTTGTTCAACCATATTGATGGAGCACCTACTATATACAGTCATGAGCTGATTAGCAATGGGGATATGCATTTCTCAGAAGAAATGCATCATTAGGCAATTTCATCATTTTGCAAACATCATAGAATGCACTAATGCAAACCTAGATACTATAGCCTACTACACACCGAGGCTACATAGCATGTTGCTCCTAGGCTACAAATCTGTACAGCATGTTACTGTACCAAATACTGTAGACAAGTGTAACACAATGGGAAGTATTTGTGTACCTAAACATAACTAAACATAGAAAAGGTACGGTAAAATTATCTTACCTTAAAAGATGAAAAAGGAACACCTGTATAGGCCACTTTCCATGAATGAAGCTTGCAGGACTGGAAGTTGCTTTGAATGAGTCAGTGAGTGAGAGGTGAGTGAATGTGAAAGACATTATTGTACATCATTGTAGACTTTATAAACATTGTCTGCTTAGGCTACACTAGATTTAAAAAATAATAATAAATATGCCTTAGCTTACTGTGACTTTTACTTTATAAACTTTTCAATTTACCTTTTTGACTTTTTTGTAATAACATTTAGCTTAAAACACACATTTCCTTTCTTTATAACTTTATAAGTTTTTTATTAATTTTTTTTAACTTTCTAAACTTTTTTTGTTAAAACTAAGGCACACACACATACATTAGCCTAGGCCTACACAGGGTCAGGATAATCAATATTATTGTCTTCCACCTCCACATCCTGTCCCTCTGGAAGATCTTCAAGGACAAAAACATGCCTAGAGCTGTCATCTCCTGAGACAATTATGCCTTCTGGAATATCTCCTGAAGGACCTGCCTGAGGCTGTTTTACAATTAACTTTTTTTTTTAATAAATAGGGGTACACTGTAAAATAACTATTAAAAAGTCAGCACAGGAAGTTTATTTACACCAGCATCACCATAAACGTGTGAGTGATGCATTGTACTATGATATTACAATGGCTACAACATCACTAAGCAATAGCAATTTTTCAGCTTTTTTATCATGTTATGTGGTCCATAGTCCTTTGTTTATGTGGTCCATAGTTCACCAAAACATCACTATGCAGTATATGACTGTGCTAGGTTCTGTGTTCAACCCTGGAAACGTAATGATGTACAAGAAAGATATACATGGTGCTTCTCTCTCAGAGCTCACTGTCAGAGGCAGTTAACTACCCATTTGTAGGCTAGAACACCTCAGGTTTGCAATCAGCCGTAAGCCTTCCTAGGCTCTGTCCCACTGTGATGTAATTTTTTAGGCTACATTCAGCCTAAGCCTTAATTCGTGTCTTAATCCATTCAAACTGCTATAACAAAATGCCGTAAACTGGGTGGATTAGAAACAACAAACACTCCTCACAGTTCTGGATACTGGTAAGTCCAAGATAAAGGCACTGGCAGACTCCGTGTCTGGTGAGGACCCATTTCCTGATTCATAAATGGCAGTCTTTTCACTGTAACTTCACATGGCAGAAGGGACATGTGAAGTTATGGTAAAAAGTTACAGTGACCTCTCTGGGGGCTCTTTTACAAGGGAATTAATTTCATTCATGAGGGCTCTCTCTTTGTGACCTAATTACCTGATTAGGCCCCACTTCTTAATACCGTTACACTGGGGATTGGGCTTTAACATATTAGTTTGGGGGGAACACAAACAGATCATAAGTAGTCTCGATTACCACACCCTAGCCCAGTACACAGAACCAGTCATAGCTTCCTGTTGCATGGGGCTCTGAGATCAGATTGCTCATCCTCAGTTACAAGGCGCCTATTACACTCTCCTGAACTGGTCAGTGAGCTCATTTCACTGCTTGCTATCCCATTACCACTGTTCAGCTCATGAGAACTTCCCTCTGCTGTTTGCCCTTTCCACCCAGTTACTCCTCTTCTAGATCTTCCCTGCCTAGCCTGGCACTCTGCATGAGGACTGCTCTTCACACAATATGCAACCACTTCACTTACAGCTACCCATCACCTGAACAAAATCCCCCTGGATGAAGTGAGATAATGTATCTTCATCACCTACCACATCTGTTTGTTAAAAAGATGATAGATTCTACTTTCTATATAAGATAAATAATAATCATCTAGTCCTGAGCATGAACACAATACTATAAATTTGGTAATCCTTTACCAAAAAAATACATGGTTTTAGATTATTCTTTTAATGTGTTAGTCTCAGTTAAGAAATTATTACTTTAACTGGAATTTTGGAGGAACAAGACTTAGAAATGATAAAATTTGGTGGTAATCACACACAATAACAATTTTTATTGTTTGAGTCAGTGCTAGAGTTCATTCAGGTGGTATTTGGCTGGCTTTGTTAGTCTTGCTTCCCAAATTAGCTTTGCTTTCCGATCCAGATGTCAATATGTGAAATGGTCATCAGCCAAGTGCAGAAGGATACACAAGCTGGCTGCAAAACATGATGACCTATCCAGTGGAAAGATGAAACCTGACAGAGACCTGGGGACAGGCTCAGACTCTGCCTGGGAATGCTTAGGAATCTGGGGAAAAGCACATCGGAAACTTGAAAAGGGAAATGGCAAACTTCAAAAATGTACAAGCTGAAAGCTACAAAAAGCTCAACCCAACCGTCTTTGGAAAGGCAATCCCAGTCCTTGGGAATGTCATAGAGCAAATCTATTACCACATACATGAACTCTCAGTGCTAATATGGCTTGCCAATGAAAATTTGGCTCTCATGGACTGAAGCATAATCAATGATACACAAATCAACTATTCCGAGTGTATAAACGAGCTCTGTGAATTGATGAGACATGTGTAGCCCTGAGGATAAGAGGATAACAGGTGTATAGTCACTGTTTTCTCAGAGCTGGTCACATGAAAGGAGAAAGCAGTGATGCATACAGCTGTATTTATATCCTGCATTCAATCATGGAAAAAGCAGCATTCAATATCATTGTCTGCCCCCACTAAAAGGAGATCTGGATAGTTCTTTTGGGAATTTCACAAGTTATCTGGACACAGAATGTAGCCCTTACTTATTTCTCAGCTCTACAGAGTTTTAAAATGTATGTGTAGGGGAAGGGATATTTGGCATATCTGGGAACCTTCCTCACAATTTACTGCTAACCTAAAACTGCTTTAAGAAATAGTCTTTAATAATGATTTTTTCAAACCAACAAATATTATGCATTGCTTTTAAAATTCAATACCAATCAGTAAATGTGCTTTGAAATTTGTAAAGCCCAGGTAGTTAAGACACATACACTTTGTGAGTCTCTTAGAAATAGTGGCACCATCCCATCAGAGCAGGCACAATGTCTCCTTTAACAGATGGCTGGGAAAGAAGGCAGCCAAAAGACCATGTATGAACAACAAATGTGCTTCTAAGGGCGGCAGTCCAAGCAGCGAATGTTGAAATTGTTTTCCATCCTACGCTTGCAGGCCTGTGGCAAAGGGACTGGGGAATCAGTTGACTTGTGTGCGCTTAAGCAAAATGGCCAAATAGCTCCCATGACTATAGGAAAGGAGACCAGCAGATGTGGGGGCAGCAGAGTGTTCCAAGCATGGGATTAGGAATGCTCATTGTCCTTGCACCATTACGAGCAAGGCTCTTCTGCTATCTGTTAACACCATGTTTTATCTTGTTTTCATTCATACACGCTGAAGAATGAGCACAACACAGGCAGTTTGGCATCTTTAGAGATGAAAAGTATTTTCGCTAGAAAGATCAGGTACAAATCTATTTTACCTAAGAAGAGAAATATTATTTATAAGAGGGGAGGTGTCTTTGGTCTTTGCTGCCTTTCTCACTGTGCTTTAAACAAATTTCTACTACATAAATGTGGGTATAACTAGTTTATAATCTTATATATGTCTAGTTCAAGTCTTACAAGGATGCAGTGGAATATCTGCAGTGAAGAGAAGTCTTGCCCATCTATATAAGGACCTCTGGAGTAAAAAGCTGCAGTGTTTGTGAATTTTGAGGCTATGTTGTTGAATGATCATTTTTACATTAATGAGACTTTTTGGCATAGTGTGTGGATGGAACTTAAATTTTAATAGAAACATCATGTTATTAAAGCCCAAAGTCCATTGGTGAGGGTATGTGTGTATGTTTACGTGTGTGTATAAAGTTGGTTTCTATATCCAAATGACTATACATATATGAATATAAAAAAGTTACTATTTCTGGGTTTGCTGCATTGATTCTTTAAATAACTAGATTTTTACAGTACTCAGAACAACGAGACAGATAAGTTTCATTGTAAAATGAGGCCCTTGATAAATAGACTTCTGTTGTGGGACTTTTCAGTTCTTAGAAGAGTTCTTACTTTTTAAACGTATGTATTGACAACAAGTGAAAGTAGACGGAAGAAAGATTTGATCCATATGGTGCCATAAAATCCATGTTTAAGTAAACCTAATGCTACTTCTCAAACAGCACTCCACCAAGTTGACACCCATACTCTCTCCACCCTGAAAAGGTTTAGGGAATAATCACTTTTTCAACCTAATCTTTATTAGATCAACTACATTCTCTGCCATCTTATGATAGGAACCCCACTCATATATAATGCAGACTGGAGGTAAAGCCTTTAAAAATATATAATGTCCTTTCATAAGTTTTCAGGAAGTGAGAATCTTTGTATAAAATCAGGCTGGGTTATTGACTCAAGAATTCTCCCATCTGCCGAATCTAATCAGTACAGCAAACATCTTCAAATTATTCTCAGACACTGACACAGGCTTATGAAATACATTCCTTTCTATTATTTCCTGATCTTGTCCAACTTTGTACACTTTGAACCTCTAGGATTGGAAATCAATCATGCTGACAACTCATGTTATTTTTTAAAAAATTAATACTATTTGCCAAATCTTGAAATATTTCTCCCAATTTTCATCAAAAATGAAATGTTATTTATTATGGTAATGTTTTTGGAGTTGTTCGTCTGTAGTTTCAAATAATGTTGGCTTAAAATAATGTAGTTAAATATTTTGTATTTCAAAATAGCTATAAGAGATGAATTCAAATATTCTAACCACACAAAAATGATAAATATATGAGTATGCTGAAAACCCTGATTTGACCATTACACAATATATACATGTATCAAAACATCATACTGTACTCCATAAATATGTGCAATGATATGTATCAGTTAAAATAAATACTGAAATAAATTTTAATGTAGTTTGAAATGACCTGAATTTGTTGAAATTGCTGTTATAATCAGAACTACTTTAAAAGTTTAAATTTTTATTACTTTAAAATTAATAGAATTATAAAGTACAATTAAAGCTTAGATAATTCTGGAACCCAAGTACAGTTTTATAAAAGTAGGATATTTAATTTAAAATGCAAAAAAATGTCTATCAAACTAGTGCAATGAGACATGGATGACAGGTCAGATTTTTGAATTTTTGGGGCAGTGCTGCCCTCTAATGACAGTATTGAAGAACTTGCTTTATTTGGTCATTACTTAACAGAAAGTTTAGCCTCACATTTTCATTTCTGGTTACACATTAGAATCACCTGGGGACCTTTTAGAACAGTCTCCATTCCCATCCCCCAGAAACTCTGATGTATTCATCTACGTCCTGGGCATTAGTAGTTCTTATGCTTTCCTGGAAATTCAAATATGCATCATTTTAAGAAATGCTAGTTTAGGCAGAGAAACAAAGTATTAACAATACCAAAAAAATTGTATCCCAGTCCCCAGAGTATCTAGCACACCAGTGATCACCGGTCTCTTTCTGTTCTGCAATACCATTTTCAGGGACCTGGCTTCTGACCCCCCAAACTCCCTGATTAGCCATTGGCCAAGTTATTACATAGGCACAACTAGGTATAAACATACCGACATAAAGAAACACAGTATTATACATTCACAACTGCAGAAAAAAAAACAAAAAACTTTTCCTTCCAATTCCCCTGCATCTCAACTTCTTGCCAACTTCCAAACAAAAAAAAATAGCTTCATTCATTATTATAATTCAGAAGGCTTTAAAACTGATGACAATGCTGTTGGGAAGAAAGGGGAACAAAAATGGGAGGATGGCATTAAAAACAGGAGTGGGAGGTCTTTTTTATCTTGTGTATGTTTCCTGTCCTCCCCATTGCAATATAATTTTAATAATAAAGGAATTTTTGTCTGTTTCAGGACAATGCCTGGCACATAGTTAGCACTCACAGGCATTGTTTAATGGATGAACAAATAAATGAATGAATGCATGAATGAGTAGGTTTATGTTTGAGACTGGGTGAGAGAGAGAAAAAATAGAAATAAATATTTAAGGCTTTGGGAGAAGGAACAGGTAACTTCCCACTGAAGGAAAAAAGATACCTATCCAAATGAAAGGTTGAAAATACATATCACTGTAAAAAAGGGAAAAAAATGGAATAAGAATAATGGAAAAGCAAATTTATAATTAATTGGTAGAAACCTGTGAATTGTGTCAAAACCCAACTATTCCAAAACTGACCTTAAAGGTCATTTAAAGACACATGATTAGAAACAAAATTAATTAGTCACTTTTGGAGGGTTTTAGGGAACCACCTCATTATTTTGATAATTAGTAAATAGAAGGTAAAAATTAGTAACTTGTCTTTCCTACACAAACTATATCACTGGGTAACCAAACATAAGTATTTTTCTGTAGAATAGTCCAGTTATTAAGTACATAAGAAATTATTGAATTAGCATATCATTACTATCATTATCTTCCAACCCACAATGAATGAATTAATTGTTTAGGCATTGAGCATCAACAGCTGCTAACAGGACAAAGGAGTAATCATCAGACTCTTGATACCTCTTGATAGACGAACACACCACTACCTATAAAGTAATCTTGCTTAAAAAATTCAACCTATTTGGCAAGCCTCTAGGCTCAAATACCAATATACAGAGGACAAAAAAAAACTTATTAAAATATACAGAGGTGCAATCAGTAAAATCCAGAAGAAGGAAATTCTATGGGACAAACAATCTGGCTTCCTCAAAAATAATTGCAAAGAAAAGAGAGTTGGAGAAGAAATGTGTAGATTAAAATGTCTTAAAATACATATCAATGAGGCACAATTTGTGAACCTTACTTTGAAATTAATTCAAACAAATTATGAAAAATCAATGATTCATAGGGCATTAGAATTTGAACACTTACTGGATATTCTATATTAAGAAATGTTAATTTTAAGTCTAGTAATAATATTATAGTTATGTTCATTCTATATAGTGAACTATATATAATAGATATTATATATTAATTAATATAATATATTAATATAAAATATATATTATATATTAATATAAATATATAAATATATAATAACAGTATATATAAATATATATTAATCTGTATATAATTAATGAATAATAGTCTAGTATGTTTTAGAATACATACTAGAACATTTATTAATGAAATAATATGTGTGATATATACTTGAAAATAATGCTACAGGAGAAAGTTAGACACTGAGGATTGGACCTGTGTCAATAACTGTTGAAGCTGGGTGGATGAGTGTGTGGAGGGTGGTACTATCTTTTTCACTTTTGTATAGGTTTGAAATTATCCACAATAAAATTTTTAAAATGATCCCATGATAAAAGCTTCCTGATTAAGATGGAAAGAGGAATTAAGGAGGGATGTTTATGACAAACTATTTTAGAAATAAAGAATAAAAATGCTTTTAATAGATTTTACCTGCCCGTGGTGAGCTGTTCAATCATTCTTACTGTTTTTCTCTGAAAGTTTTTAAAATAATGCAATACTTGCCATTGAAGCCAGCATGCCGAGAGCATTTCCATTTGCAATGAGAAAGAAGGAAGCACTCACTGTCCTTGCTGTGAGATTTACAGAAAGAGAAAGGGGAGGAGAAGTTGCGCAAGTCTTGCTGCTGTAGTACATGCAGAATACTTATTCATTATTTCTAGGAATACTTACATATCAATGCTATCAAGGTGTCTACAGCTGGGACCTTTTGCTTTTATTTTTCTTTCCTATGGAAAATAAGTTATGCTGGATTTTCTTTTTTATCTAGCAATATAAACAGTCAGAAATATAAGAGTTGGCCTTGTTCTCCCCATTCCATCAAAATGGCATTGCGTACTTCAGTGCAAGTGCTTAATTCATAGAGAGCAGGTTAAATGAATGATTTGCAGTTTATGAATCTGGGAATCTACTCTTGTAGATCCAGCAGGGGGAGTAGTGAGCGTAGATTTGGCTTCTCAAAAGAGGATGAGGCTATTTGAACCAGACAGATTGTAGATATACTGTTCTCTTATTAACCTGTTTCTTACTTCACCTCTATTTTATAGACTCTGACTCCTGATTGATAAGTGAGTATCTATAGCAGACCTGTTTCGTTCTTACCCCACTGTAATACAAAGATTATTCTGATAATATGCAGCCAGGGGGCATGAATCCAAGATTCTCCTTTTTGTGGTCTAAATTTCTCTTCGGAGCTAGAAAATTCCTTTGAATTTTCTCCCCTTATTTAATTCTCCCATAGCTTTTCCCACTTCTCCATTTCTGTTTCCTCAAAGCCTGACCAACAGTGAGGTAGAAACCATTCTACTTTCGATTAAGGACAGAGATTCAGACGGGAAAATAGTCTCTGCTGTTTCCAACCCATGTCCCTTTACATACCCCCATGATAAATTTGGGACTACAAATCTCTCCCAGAGAGGCCCCAGACAAGTAAACCAGTTGCACCTTCCCATACATTCAGGCATCAAAGCACAAGGGATGCCTTTTGCTCAGAACTGAGGGGCAATTAGCTGCATTGGACAGGGAGAAGCACTAGGCACCTTTTCTACTTGCTGCCTTTGAAAATGAACCAAGCCACAACAAGAAAGGCTTAAAGGGACCCTAGTAACAGCTGATCCACTTTGGCCTAGCTAGTAACACTCTAAGAACACAGCAGCCCAGCTGTTTTCAAATCCTCATTCTATAAAAAGCAAGGGAGTCAAGCTTAGCTGCCTCAGTGACAGTGAGTGAGGGTCAGCTCTTCTGTAACATCAGCTGCCTCCTCAACTGATCCTTCTTCCTGCAGGACACAAGGAGAAGAAAACTCAAAACGATGTACCTCCATTAACATAATTGTTATTGTTTAGCACAAAGTAAACTTGTCCTCACAGTCTCTCTTGTAGAAAGAATTCTTGCATCAGAAGATCTGTACCCTACATTAGTGCTTCTTACACTTTGGTTTACATAGGACTCACTTGGAGATCTTGTTGAACTGTGGTTATGGAGGACGGCCAGAGATTCCAAAAGGGCTCAACCTGGCTTTTCAAAGTGTGGTCCATGGATTAGCCCCATCAGCATCACCTAGGAGCTTGCTAGAAATATCAAAGTGAAATAGTGCTACCATTTTTCCCCTTTATGTTCAAAGATCCCTGATGCTGAGGCAATCATAATCATAATAGTAAAATAATAATAAAAATAATAGAAAAATAGTAATAGTAAAATAATAATGATAATAATAAAATACCGTTGATGAGTGCTTACTGCATTAGTCATATGCAATACATATGACTATGTAAATAGTCAGCAACTATTTATATAATAACTCTAATGCAATTATCATAGTCCTCAATTTGTGCATAAAAAAACTAAAGCTCAAAGAAGATAATTTATCCAAAATCACATAGATGGGAAATGTTCCATCCAAATCTATTCAGCTGCAAAGCCTGGACTCTCTCTTTGCCACTCCATGCTACCATAACTGAGATCTTTCATCCTACCACTAACCCACCACAACATTCCCTGACTGCTTCCCCAGACTCACCCATTGCTTGCTCTTCCCACTGATTTTTTTTTCATTGCTCTTGCTTAGTTTGCAACATCTGCATATGATTTTCTGCAATACAGGTGGTTAAGAGTGGTCATTCATTCTTAGGGCAGTTTCTCTGTACTTGGTTCAGTTGGGAGAGATCATTGTACCTTTTGAGTTTACCAACTGTCCAATCTTTATTTTAGAGGAAACAGGTTTCTTTCTGTAGTGTTTTACTAAGGCATTTAATTTCATTTTATTCACGTTCTATTTCCCTCTATTTGTATTATCCTTTATAAATGTAAATTTTAATCTTGCAATATTGGATTAAAGATAGTTTTCCTGTAATCCATTTGCTGAGGATGTGTTTGATTTTCTTGTGATTCATTTTCTAAACAAATGAATTGCTTGGCTGAAGACGTCACAGATTTGTATGAGTGGGCTGTGACACTTTTCCCTCGTCTTCTCAAAATGCCTGTATACACTTATCCAATAAATATGTTTTCAGCACATGCTACATGCTAGGCATTGTGCTTGGCTTAGATATATAGTTTTAGTGAAATATGCATAGTCTTACCTTCATAAAGTTTTCTTCAGTTATGGTATCATGTTAAACTAGCTTCAATTCTTATGGCCCTTTGGGTATGACAGCATTATAATCTCAAGTGAAAATCCCAAAAAAAGCAGTAGATTTAAGGTTTTGCATGGAGCATGCTATAGTAGAAAGAGTAGATTCGAGGTTTACAGACCTGCCCTATCTCTCCGTTGTTTCTTCCCTCCCTCCCTCCCTTCCTTCCCTCCCTCCCTTCCTTCCCTCCTTCCTTCCTTCCTTCCTTCCTTCCTTGTATTCATTTCATTTCTTTGCCCTTCCCTGTACCCACTCTCTTACTCACCAAATATGTGCTCAACACTGGGCTACATCAGGAATCCGGCATAAGAGGTTCCTGTCTTGACAGAGCTCTGAGTCCAGTGGGGGAAGGCAAATACTGGTCATTTTAGTGACTCTGAGTTGATGAAGGAGAAGTGTAAAGTGCCCTAGGCACAGGTCATAAGCAGGCCTGTCTCAGTCTGAGTCTAAGATATAGAAAAGGTAGGTTCTGATTAAGCTACCAACAAGTTGTATGATAAGCCATTCAAGTTCTCCAGGCTTTGTTGTTGTCGTTTTAAATCTGTTAATATAGATGTATGTGGGATGGAGTTGGATTTAACAGGTTTTTTTTTTATTCTTAAAGTTCTACTTTACACAAGAACTTCAACAGAAAATCAGGTATTGATTTTTCATTGTAAAGAAAAATTATTATAATGCGTCTTAATTTCTATATAGAATGCAATTAATGTGTAATGCAATAAAGAGAAATATGCATGCTTGTAGTATAGAAATTTTCAGAATAGAGACCCTGTGAAACTACATAATCTCTCTTTCCTTCAAATTCAGAGATGTTTTGATACTATAGTTCTCTAAGTAACCCCACTTTTCCCCCGCCTTCCCCTCAATTATATCACTGGAATATAACCACCTGTCTTGTGAAGGGTAGCAAGCAAATAATTAAAACAATAGAGATGCGTTTCTGAAACTTAAATTAGGAATAAAAAATATTGTCAAGAACTCCCCCCCAGTATGAACTTGATCTTAAAATAATGTTACTTATATACATAGGGCCACAAAACTAGATACAAACCTTATTAAACAAAATGAAATTTCAATTTTTGTATAAACTGAACTAAAAAACCAACCCATTCATATTAACATTTAATTTAACGTGACAGATGGTTTTGTTTTGCTAAAACCAAGTGTCTATTAGAAACATGCAGTGATGGTGACTGTTGGGGTGTGGGTTCTTGAGCGGGGCGTGTCCTCACACCGAATGTAATCAACATTTAAGAAAATTGAATCAGACGGCCGGGCGTGGTGGCTCACGCCTGTAAATCCCAGCACTTTGGGAGGCCGAGGTGGGAGAATCACGAGGTCAGGAAATGAAGACCATCCTGGCTAACACGGTGAAACCCCGTCTCTACTAAAAATACAAAAAATTAGCCGGGCGTGGTGACAGGCGCCTGTAGTCCCAGCTACTCGGGAGGCTGAGGCAGGAGAATGGCGTGAACCCAGGAGGCAGAGCTTGCAGTGAGCCGACATCGCGCCACTACACTCCAGCCTGGGAGACAGAGCGAGACCCCGTCTCAAAAAAAAAAAAGAAAAGAAAATTGAATCAGACAATCTTGACTAGGAAGTGGACAGGTTTTAGAATAATTTTCTATTATCTTTCAAAGATATTTATAAAAAATAGATGTCATTATAGTACATATGTATATGTATGCTTACATATATGTATAATATATTTTATGTATGTGCATATGTAAATATTTTATGTACAAATGTATTTATATATACATATATATGTAATAAAAAACTTGCTGAAACTTGAAACCATGTCTGAAATTACAAGTTTGAAAAAAGCAGCAATATAAAACACTGAAAGATATTAGCCAGTGGGTGATTCATAAAAGCCAGTCTTAAGAGCAAGATCAAAACTGACAAAGCTTTATCTGTCCTTAGAGAGGGTAGAAAAATGAAGACCATGAAGATATAAATGTGGTAATACTAATTCATATGTGTGAATGGCTGCTCCACACTACTTAAACTAGTCCTTCAATGTATTTTTTGTTGAATGAATTACCAATTTAATAAGCTGAACCATGATGGGAGGGAAAGCATATTTTTTAGAAAAGAAGGATGTATTTAGTGAACACTGATCTCTATCTCGGAGAATTTTGAATATTAAAACTAAATTAAGATCTTCAGACATCAACAAGTAAGATAATTTGGGGTTGGGGATCCTTTCGTGGTCCTGGTAGGAAGTAGGAAATCATGGCACCTGAGTCTTCCCAGCCTATCTGGAGCATCTTACACAGGTTTTTGCACAATCTGCTGCTTCGAGTTTTTCACTTGTTGGATCACAGAAGTATTCAGACAGTCCTAGGTACAAGTTCCTCTGCTCTTGCAGCAAACCCTGCCCTACCTGGGTTGCTATTCTCCACAATCCTATCATGAGCTCCCAGCCTATGGGATGACTCTCAGTTGACTTCACAATGAATTCCAAACTCCTCCCTGCGGTGCACAAGGTCCTTCAACATCTGGCTTCTGTTCATCTTACAACCCTTAGACCTGGCCCCACACCCTTTCCACATACACAGACATCCATGTGGAAAGACTGGCAAGGATTTTATGATTCTCTGGTTTTTCCTATTTCCTGGAATATTCTTTTTCACATTTCTTGCCTAGTTAACTCCTAATTAATCTGAAAGACCTAGGTGAGGTATCTTTTCTATGGTAGGTAGAAAAACATTCTCTCAAGATGTCCATGTTCTAATCCCTGGAACCTGTGAATATCTTATGTTACTTGATAAAAGGGACTTTACAGATACAATTTACATCATAGACCATACAATGGGAAAATTATCCCAGATTTTCCAGGTGGGCCCAATGTAAACTGCATGGACTCTTAAAAGCAGAGAAGTTTCTCTGACCAGAGGCAGAAAAGACATGAGGCAGAAGGGGAAGTTGCAGAAACTTGAAGCACGAGAGAGAATTTATCCCCCATTCCTGGAAAGCTACATGGAAAGCAGGACAAAAAAAATGTGAGTAGTCTCTAGCAATAAAGATCAGCCTCTGGATGACAGCCAGCAAGGAATGAGAACCTCAGTCCTACAATGGCAAGAAACTGAACTCTGCCAACACTCTGAATGAGCTTAAATGTAATTTAAACCCAGAGCCCAGAAAGGAACACTGTGTTGCTGATATCTTGATTTTGACCCATGAGACTCTAAGCTGAGAATCAGCTGAGCCCAGAGGGAGTTCTGACCAGCGGACCTATGAGATAATAAATGGATGTTGTTTTAAGGTGCTTAATTTGTAGTAATTTGTTTTGGCATTAATAGACACCCCCTTTCAGAAAGCCTTTTCCCAAACTTCCTATATCCAACCCAGGTCTATGTTTCATGTCCCAGCTACATGCTGCCCATAGCTCCTGCATGCTCCTCAACAAGGACAGCCCACTGTGCTCTACTTCTGTTTATTTTGCTGTCTCCTCTGCTACATTGTGAATGCCCTGAAAATAGAAACCATATTTTATCAGGTTATATAATAAGCACATATACATAGCCTATACGTAAATCATTCTCAGTGATTGTTAAATGAATAAGGTAGAAAATCAATTCATGCAACAGGTATTTGTTGAGTACCTACTATTGGCCAGGGATTGTCCTAAATGATAGTCACATACAATGAATATGAAAAGTATCTGATTCAAAGAGGGGTTGGAGGAGGCAGACACTAAATGTAAAAATAAATGAATACTTTCTGACAGCTATAATTTCAAATAATACAATAAAATAATGGAACAGAGGGTCATAGGGTAAGAGGCAAGACTACCTTAGCTGGAGCAGTAAGGGAAGGCCCTCTTGAAGAGGGACATTGAGCTGAGATCTAAAGGATGAGGAGGGAAGAGTGTTTAGGCAGCAAAGGGAGAAGCCCTTGAGAGTGCCCTGCAGGGGTGGAATGTATGAGAAAGAATGTGCAGGAGACAAACTGGGAGACTCAGGCAGAACCCAGAGCCTTGCACGATATGGGAAGAAAATTTAGATTATATTCTAATCCAATGGGAAGGCTTTGGAAGAGTTTAACTGACATTATTGGACTTATGCTCTTCAATAGTTTCATTTGATAGCAGTGTGGAGAAAAGGCTGTGGGAGAAAGGCTGGAATCTCGAAGACCACTCGGTCTAGGCCAGAAGCGATGGCAGCTTTGACTAGCATTGTAGTAGTGGAGATGGAGAGAAGAGGTCAGATGTGAGATACATTTTTCAGGCAGAGTTCAGAATACAAGGGATTGGGAGAAATGGAAAATGACTTCTAGATATTTGACTTTATCAATTTGCTGAGAAAATTGGGAGAGTATCCAGATTTGGGAAGGAATAGAAGGAAATCTAAAATTTTACATTAGACATGTTAAATTCAAGTTGAAAATTGGTCATCCTGAAAGGTAAATGGATATATGGGTGGAAATCTAAAGGCAAATGGATATATGAGCCCAGAATTCAGGGGAGCACTTTGAGCTGGAGATACAAACATGGGATTGGTGGCATATCAGTGGTATTTAATGCCAGCAGACAAGATGATATTATGTAGGAAGAGTTAGTTTTTGGGTGTGTTAGTTTATTTTGTCTTACTATAAAGGAATACTTGAGGCTGGGGAATTTATTAAGAACAGAGGTTTATTTGGCTTATGTTTCTGCAGGCTGTACAAGCACGGCACCAACATCTGCTTGGCTTCTTGTGAGGCCTTAGGAAGCTTTTATTCATGGAAAATGGTGAAGGGGGAGCAGGGTGTCACATGGTGAGAGAGGGAGCAAGAGACATGCCGGCTTCTTCTAAACAACCAGCGCTCCTATGAACTAACCAAGCAAGAACCCACTCATCACAAAGGGAAGGGTACCAAGCCGCTTATGAGGGATCTGCCCCCATGACCCTATCACCTCCCCACTGGGCCCCACCTTCAACATTGATATTGAAATGTTGGATTACATTGTAACATCAGATTTGAAGGGGACAAACCTCCAAACTATATCAATGGGTTGGGGGTTAAAGACAGAGGCCTGGGATATTTTAGCATTTGCAGGTAAGCAGAGGAAGTGGAGTCAGAATATAAGATTAAGGAGTAGTCAGTAAAATGGGAGGAAAAAAAGGAGAGTGTCATGTCTCAAAAACCTACAGGAAAAGTGCTTCAAGAAGGAGAGTTATCTGCTGTGTCAAATGCTGCAAGACGTCCTAAATATGAAGATAAAAAGAACTGGCCACTGAATTTGGCAATAGATCAATAATTTTACTTTGGTATTAATAGAAAGTTCATTGCCAGGTTTCTTCATTAGCCTTATTCAGTTCAATTCCGTTCAATCCAAGAAGACTTAAGACACTGTGCTGGGTACTTTAGGGGATGAAAATGTGACCAAACCAGGATTTCTTCCCTCAAAGGACTTACAACTTAATTGAAGAAATAGACTGACCAAAAGCCAACAATGGGTCATATGTGGTGGCTCACACCTGTATCCCAGCAATTTGGGAGGCCAAGGTAGGACGATTGCTTGAGGCTAAAAATTCAAGACCAGCCTGGGCAACATAGTGATAACTCCATCTCCACCAAATGTTATTTTAAAAAAATCATTACCCAGGCATGGTGGTGCATCTGCAGTCCCAGCTACTTGGGAGGCTGAGGTGGGAGGTTTGTGTGAGCCCAGGAGTTCAAGGCTGCAGTGAGCTATGATTTCCACTGCACATTCCAGCCTGGGTGACAGAGGGGACCCTGTCTCAAAAAACAAGCAAACAAACAAAAAAACAAAACCAACAATGCTACATAAGACATGGTAAGTAAGCAATTAATTCTGTGAGAAAAGGCCTGAAAGAACTGGGAAGTCTCTAGGGAGAAAAAAGTAGGTCAGTTGAGTCTTCAGGAATCAGTAGTATTTCAGCCAGAAGAAGGAAAGTTGTTTTTTTTCCAGAATGACTACACTGAAGTAATAGGTAAGGCATACAAAGTTTCTAAACTAGAAGAGTGACACTGGGGATGGGAAGGAGAAGAAAAGGTCAGAAACAATGTTATGCTATCAACAGCTATTCTTTACATCCATGCTTCAAGATACATGTGTGTTTTCATTTTATATCTGTAATCCATTAAATATATAGCCCAGGAATCATTTTCATCATTTTGAAGAGAAGGAAACTAAAGCACAAGTTGTTCAATACAAGTTATTCAATACAAATTGTATGAAAGTGAATACAGTAACTAGATTGAATTGTCAAAGAATACGTGAAACTTAAATGTTATCACAACTCACTCCATCAATTTGCAGTTAAGAATGGAAAGCAGATGCCTTTGATATAATTATAATTGGTAACCCAGGGCAACTACATCAAACCTAGGTCCAAGATACATCTTTTTAGCCATGATATTGGGACTGATGTCCAGCCACAGAGTTCCACAGCATCTAATGGATAATATAGTGTATCTACATAAAGAACAGAGAGATAACATTATTTAGAGCTAAGAACAATTTCAAGGAACACTGCAGATCTACGGTGTGTGGAACTATGGAACTCATCCATTCATGACATTAACATTAATAGATTGAAGCCTCAAATCTCAAATGGCCAAGCTGGAAATGGGGACACTTCATAGAGGAGTTGAAAAATGAAACTCTGATTGCTTAGTTCTCTTAGAGCATCTCGGCAAAACTTGATGAATCTCTTTGTATGTGAAGAAAACGTTAATATAGAAGGAGCCCATGTGCCAGCACACAGGGAAGCCTGATTTTGTGATTGAGTCAGACACAGTGCTTCTGTAGCTTGGGGACCATGTTTTATAGAAGACTGAATGAATGGGCTATAAATCAAGAAAGTCAATCGTCCTTTCAGGAGAAGGCTTAATGCCTTTAATTGAGCTTTGTAAATCTGATGAAAATTCAGAACAAGCACTTGTTCACATGACTTTCCTAAAAAAAAAAAAAAAAAAAAAACAGTTTAGGCTTAGCATTTGGGGAATATGGAGACTTATTTTTTGAAGATCCTATTTTATTTAGTGCCTTGACCATGAAAAATCTAATCTTACACTTAAAAATAACCTATAGAAATGATAGAGGAAGGAGCTGAAATTCTCTCACTGAATAACATGATTATATAAACTACAGCTGCTTTCACCTCCATTTGCTGTTTTAAGGACTTCCTCTCATACAGGCAGTAACACCACCAGCTCAAGATGCTAAGTGATGCTTTAACCCTTGCCACTTTCTTATTGGCTTTTGATTTTTGCCATAAGCAGGTCTTTTTGTCTCAGTGAGAACTAATTAGTGCTTATGTTCCACTTAATGCAGTAGTAAAAGATTTAAAAGAAGTGGAACAAAATTACTACAGTATATTTTCAGGTACTAAAGTTCGAGCAAAATGGAATAAAGGCCAGGTGGCGGTATCTACAACCTGTGCTAATGGCTCCATCAACAGATGTTTAATGTACTTAGAGTTATTCTTCACATCCTACTGTTGCTAATACATTTCCTCCCATACCTCCCCTCAACACAAAAATTTTGAGAGGAAAGGAAACATTAATAACCCCAAACTGTTTAATTTTAAAGGATATTTAAATCTTAATACTAGTCATAAGGTGACCTATTTGACCACTGGATGGCTTATTGCAGGCTTCAATAATTTTGTTGCCATCATTAGTAAAAGTCGTTAACCAAGAAAAGGCTTAAATATGTATGGATTTTCTGCTTTATTTACCCTTGGATTGCGTACTGCTTTGAAATTATTTTTCCATAGAACAGGAATACAGAGATGCTATGCAGTGATGTTTTAGGCTTGGATGCAGAGGAGGCTGGCTGTGAAAAGGGTGCTGGCCTGCCAGTAAGAGACCATGCTTTCTGTCCAGAGTTTCTAATTCTGCAAGTCAGTTCATCAAGTCAGATGACCACCTTGTAAACATCAGGCCATCAGTAAACATCGGGGCATGTTTTTCACTATAATGGGAAAAAGAATGAAGAGGTGACTCCCACTTGGAGCAGCACGTTCTCCAGTGAACACATTGGGACATTTATTTATATGATGATCCACCCTCTGGGTTGCTTCATAACAGAGAATAGGGGACTGAGAGGACAAGCTGCATGACAGAAAATGTTCTGTGAGAGAGAGAGGTAAGCAGGCAGGATAGTTTGGGAGCGTGGTGGTAGTGGTCTTCTAAGGGCTCCCTAGAGCAACTCCAAGGGGATGAAACAAGGGAGGTAGTGAATAAATGTGGACCAGCCAGGAGAGGAGCCTCCTACCCAGCCAGCTACGTGGCCAGATAGTTGTTGTCATAGTTCTCATCACCCTCCCCATTTCATTTTCTTTATTGCTTTTCTCCATCCTACTAAATTGTAAAACTTTACAAATTTTTAATATTTTTATATGGTGGAAGGAACCCATACAGCAAAAAGTGCCTGGGGCCAGTGAAAGTCATGATGCAGCCCTGCTTATGCATTCCCATTTGACAAATATTAATCTGTTCTATGATTGAAGGTATTCTGATTGTAGGTTACATATTATAATTTGGTTAATTGAGAAATAAACATAAGAATAGCATGTGGATCTCCTATAATAACACACTTTAAGTTAGATGTCAACAACAACCAGAGAAGGAATAGTTTCATCTCTAAGGTTACATTGAGATGGAAGAGTATATGGTGGTTGAAAAGCATTGGAAAAGAAGTCAAGATACTACCTCCAGTTATTTCTGATGAGGCTTTATCCAGTTATGAAAGGTTGGAAAGGTCACTCAGCCTTCGTCATTAGAATGAGATGATCTCTCCTTTCTACTTTCCTTTCTAAACTGTAAAAAAAAATGTGCTCTCATTCGAAGGGTTGGGTTTGGGTCTTGCTTGAGGGAATGCCCACTTCCATTTCTGTTTGTAGTCAAGGACAAAGAACAGGTTAAAGGAGAAGCAAAATTGAGGAACAAACGTTTTTGCCCTAACAAAGATTAAAATCACAGAAAAGCTCTATTTAATGTGAGATCCTATTTCTACTTAGTAATGTTAACAATTACCACTTATAGTATAATCAATGTGGGTTAGATATAATAATTCAGGTAATTAAGAAATGAACTTGAGAAGAGGAAAGGCATCTTAACACACAATTACAGGATGTGGGTTTTCCATAACACTCAACAATATGAAAAATATCAACTGTTAGCTTTGAGGGGAGAGAGAGCTGCTCCATTGAGAAGAGAGGGACGTGCTGACTTCTAGCAGGCCTCTATAATGAATAATGAGGCAAAATTGAAGAGACTAAAGTAGAAGAAAGGTGAAGACATTAAAACAAGGTTGTATTTGAGAGACGAAACTAATGACTTAACACAAAGTGCAAATAATGACTATGAAAAAAGTGATGTGAAACAGTGGGAAAACACATGATAAAAATATTTAAAAGAATGTTTTATAACACATATTAGCTCATGTAAAGACAGTACTCTGTTTTGTAGTTCATAGGTTACCTTTTTGTTGTTTAGCTTTTCTTGATCATAATATCCTTGGAAAATATCAAAAACATAAAGAAGAAAAAAGCACCACAAATCTTATACTATAGTACATATTACTTATATTTGGTATATTCCCTTGCAGATTATACATTTAAAAATAAAATTTAGATTATACTTTGTAAACAGTTTTACGTCCTTCTTTTTCCAAAATATTATTTTCATAAAGTCTTTAAAAACTTGTTTTAAATGGGCCTATAGTAATTTGTTGTTGAATGAAACCATTCCTCTGTCGTTAAACATTACATTATTTCAAAACATTATTTCAAAAATGTCACTATTCATTCTATAATGATGTGCAATTATAAGTCACAGACTTGATGTTCACATAGCCACGTGCATGGATCTTAAATCTATAATCCTGAATGAAAAAAACATGGAAAGCAGAACGAGATGAATAACATAAAACCATTAATATATGTAAAGTTGTGTGTATACCAAATGAGAATTCATCTTCTATAAGAACATAGAAACAAAGGGCTCAGCACAAACATTCAGTTTGTCATCCAGCTTTGGCCATATTAACTAAGGGTGAACATATTGTACACATTATAACTTAACTTCGCCATTCCCAGGCATATGCCTGACAGAAATATGGTCATGTGTTTATCAAAAATTAAGGGCAATAAATAGTGGTATATTCACAAAGTGAGATATTATACAGCAGTAAGAAAGAACAATCTCCAGCTGAACACAAAAACATGGATGTATCTTAAAAACACAATGTTGAGCTAAGGAAGCCAGACATATAAGAGTGCAAATGGTATGGTCCCGTTGATATAATGTACTAAATAAGTAAAGTCAATCACCTCTGCCAAAAGTCAGGATAGTGGTTTCTCTGAGCTGATAGTGACTTGAAAGGGACACACAAAAAATTTGTGGGGTGTTGGCAATATCTGCCTCTTGATCTTGGGACTAGTTGCACAGTATACCTACTTATCCTAGGTATACACTCTGTGAATTTTCACGAATACCTACTTATCCTAGGTATACACTCAGTGAATTCTATGCACTCAATTCTAGGTGTATACCTAGAATTGTCTCTATTTCTAATTCAGTGCAAAATGTAAAAAGCTGTACATTAAATACATTAGAATGGTTGCCTATTAAGTGGGGCGTGAGAGTGGGAAACGAAAGAGTAATTAAATGAATTTCAAATGAATGGTTTTCAAGAATTTCTCACTGAGAAATACCAAAGAATTCCTTAATTCTAAGTGAGTTTTAAAAGCTAAGATTGTTCATCCTTTGCTTCAGGACTTTTTAGAAAACATGTAGCAGAGAATGAAATTAGGCAAGCAGTTAGCTATGTCCTATAACTAAGAATTTGGGCGATTAAATTTTAACACTTCTCCAAAAGACATATTAAGGTGTGGTCATTATGATTCAGTTGACTTACTTTGCCTTAATGTAATGTTTTAAAAATTGCACTTTTTAAGGCATTTTTATTTTATTTTTAGAATGCACTATTTATTTCTTTTTACTTTTCTTCACATTTTAACCTCAACACCAACCTTTCCAAGTTTTGTTGAATATAATTCCATACACTGCCTGCTGGAATGAGGCATTTTTCCTTTCAGAGCAACCTAAACAGATTAGAAATCGCAAAATGTTTCTGATTTTAATTCCCTGCAGAGTTGCTAAAGAGTCGTTTTAGATTATTCTGGTGACATTTATTAAGATCAGAAGACTCCGAGATAAGACCATCCGAAATGTTTATTTTACTTAACTATTTAGTACCTCCCACATCTGCTTAGTCCAATGACCCAAACTATCTTGTAATGGCCTGTATTAAATACTTAGTGGATGTGAGGCAAGAATATGCCACCTTAGGGAGAACGCGTGCACTTTTCTTTTACATCAGTTTTCATGAATGGTTCTCATTCTAATTAATGGATAAAATGAAAAAAGAAATCACTAACCGAGTTATTTGATATAAAAGTATATTGTAATTCAGCATGTAGGGAAGTTTTCAAGAGGCACTCAAAGTGATTTTTCAGTATTACAAGTTTAATAAGAATTAGGGTTTAATCCACGAATAATTTTTGTATCCACCCATCTTTCTATTTAGAAAAAGATGATAATTTTTTATTTAAAAAGCAAACTTAGCTTTCTTGTGTGTTTTTAAAACATCTTTACAAACATCTAGCAATTGAATCATTTTCTACTATGTCATTAATTTTCCTTTGGATTTTAAGCAAAAACTGACAATTTAATGTTTAGAAATCAAGTTTACTAACATATAATTTCAGAATAATGTCCTTTTTAAATGAACCGAAAATTTATCCCTGTGGCAAACTCCTTTTTCTGTGTATCCTTAATTTTTTCTTATCACTCATTTTTGCTGAAATTGAACCCCATCTCATACTATTGGGGTTCAGGTTCCAGGAGTAGACCCCATCAGACTTGCGTGTGTGCATGCGTATATTGCATAGTGAAATATATACACACATTTATGATTCTTCACCTTAAGGTAATTCAATGAATAGAAACCCAGAATCGTGAGCTCTGTGGTTTACTAAAGCCCCATGGAAAGCCCTACTGCAGTAGCTATGCAAAGTTCTGGTTAAACATTGTCCCAGCGTTTGCACTGCTCCGTCTGTTGTTTTTACGCTAAAGACTCAGCCCAGGTTAGAGGCGGTATTGACTTTGTAATTAAACCATTTTACCTTCAGAATTTTGTAATCACTGCATTTAAAACCATCTGTTGTAGTGAGAAGGTAAACTATTTTTCCCCTCAAAGTACAGAAAAAAAAAACTACAGGGCTTTTTTTTTTTCCTTAAACGTCAGAGTTCTGATTTTAGGGCATTGATTTGCTTAACATATCAGTTAAAAAAAAAAAAGGAAAAAATTTATCTCTGAGAGATGGAAAAGAAAGACTGTCATAGAATTCAAAATAAATGGAGGTGAAAGTATCTTCTTACCTGCTGCTGTTTTTCAAAGGTGTTTTGTTTCCTCTCGTACATGGAGAGTTATTATTAATGGATTAGAGAATGAATGTGATGTTAAAGGCAAGTTTTGGTTTTTGTGTGTGTGTTTTGGTCAAAACGGATATTTTACTGCTTACATAACAGGAAGACTGGAAATGTGCATCCCAGGCTGGTTCAGAAGTTCAATGCAGCTAGATAACTGGGTTGCCTTTTCTAGAGTTCTCTTGGCCTCTTCTTCATGGTCCCAAAATAGCTGCAGCAGTCCCATGTGGTGTGTCCTGACATCAAACATACCAACAAGGAAGGAAGGGAAGGATAGGTCCTCTCTTCACCCATCTTTTTTTAAAAAGAACATTATTTCCCAGACACTGCCTAGCAGAGGTCTCTTTAGTCAGCACTGGGTAAAGACGGGTTTTTATTATACAACTGAACTCATGGAGATAGGGAGTAGAAGGAGGGTTACCAGAGGCTGGGAAGGGTAGTGGGGAGTGGTGAAGGGGAGGTGGAGATGGTTAATGGGTACAAAAAAATAGTTTGAAAGAATTAATACGACCCAGTATTTGATAGCACAACAGAGAGACTATAGTCAAGATAGTTTAATTGTACATTTAAAAATAAAGAGTATAATTGGATGGTTTATAACATGGAGGATAAATGCTTGAGGGGGTGGATACTCCATTTCCATAATGTGATTACTATGCATTGCATGCCTATATCAAAATATCTCATGTTCTCCATAAATACATACACCTAGTATGTACCCACAATTTTTAGAATTTATTTTTTAAAAAGACAAGTTTTAATATGACACATAGTATTGGAAACTTTTCATGCTAACTTGTCATGATATTGTCAGGAATCTAAGAGTACTATAGTGGGTATCATAGAGAGGGCTCACAGAGCACAAGTAGAATATTCAGGGAAAGGTAAAATATTTTTTAAATAAGTGGCTTATGAAATATATTGACTTGCATTAATGTAAAAACTGTAGGCCCTGTCTTTCATTCCCAGAAAGAAGAGGCAGAAGAGTTGCCAAATTTGCACCTGTTAAACCTTCTTAAAGGGCATAGAATCAGTCCCATCCCCCATCCCCACGCTGTGGACCTGAGAATGTCTGAACTACCATAAATTGCACCTTTTGCCATTTGGGAGATGCAGCAAAAAGAGTTTGATAATATAAACTTTGGAGTCATGCCAGGGCCCAAGTCATGGCCCTGCCACTTTTTAGTTCATGGACTTGGGGGAGTCACTTAATCTTCATAAGCTGGGGTCCCGTCATCTATAAGGTAGTGAAAATAAAATTACTTCCATAACAGGGTTGCTGTGTGGTCTTTATGAGATAATGTATTAAAGTACCTGGTACAGTTAAGAAGTATAATAAAATTTTTACTTCTATTACAATCAGTTGCTCTATCTGAAAACAAATTCTTGAGGCATTTTACCTTTAAATCCAATGTAGTTCCTCAATAAAAAATAAGTGAATATGTGGTTTAATAGTGGACTTAAATCAACTTCCTCATTCTCTTTGGCTGACATCTGTCATATTATGTCTATTCAGGGAGAGGAAAAAAAACTGGGAAATAATTGCCAGCTATCACAGAATTCATTATTAGTTAAGACTTTTCCTTTCTTCCTTTCTCTTTCTTTCTTTCTGTGTTTTCCTTCTTCCTTCCTTCCCTTTTTAAAAAATAATTTGAAGACTTTGAGCCAAAGGTGAAATTGAGAGAGTCCTCTGAAATAGCTCGTGCCAAGCCAACAATAACTGACCATAAATCTTGGATAGGGATGTGATGGGAGTGAGGAGTAGAGAGACCACAGTGTCCATCTAAGGCAGAATTGTCATAGCTCAGAATGAAACCTTTATTCAAGGTGCCTAGCTTTAACTTCTAGCTTCCACTACCTACTAGCTATAGAGTCTGGGGAAACCTGCCTGTCTTCCGTACACAGTTTTGTCATCTGTAAAATGGAGATAGCAATAGCACTTACCTCATAAGGCTGATGGGAAGGTTTACTCATGTGTATAACACACTTAGCACAGTGCCTGGCACATAGCAGACACATGTAGATGTATTATTTATTAAAAGAGTGCTATAATATGTGATGACTGCTTATTGTATATTGGAATTCAAGAGATGAGAGTTGCTAATTGATGTTATGAAGGTACAGAAATAGTTAAAAGGGGCCAGGCATGGTGGCTCAGGCCTGTAATCCCAGCACTTTGGGAGGCCAAGGTAGGCAGATCACCTGAGATCAGGAGTTCGAGACCAGCCTGACTGACATGGTGAAAAATACAAAGTTTTTTTGTACTACTAAAATTACAAAAATTACTCTCTACTAAAAATACAAAAATTAGCCAGGCATGGTGGCACGTGCTTGTAGTCCCAGCTACTGGGGAAGCTGAGGCTGGAGAATCACTTGAACCTGGGAGGCAGAGGTTGCAGTGAGCCGAAATCCCACCACAGCACTCCAGCCCGGGTGACAGAGGGAGACTCCGTCTCAAAAAAAAAAAGTAGTTAAAAGCATCCAGTGTCTCCTGTGAGCTTACTGATCCTCTGACAAACTCAAGGGTTTTTTATTTTTTTTTATGGAGTTACTATGACCATATTAATAGAAACTATTATTAAAACCATGTTTATGCCAGGAAACCAATAGGTAAACAATCACTTTTATCCTGTGATGGAAGATGAGGAGTAATTTACCTTTAAAAGCACACTGCTGGGCACATACAAATTACTAAAAATGTATGCATGCAGTTGAGTTGCATCAGTGATGTATGTTATCCTGAAACCATGGATGTGACAGAATATGTATGCAGTGGTTCTTATTAAATTGATATGAAAAGACAAACAAAAACTTCATAAAATTTTGTCCTATTTATGTTTAAGAAAACTATATATATATAATTTTATTTTTAATACAATGCATTTATAAGTGTTTATAAAAATTCTGTATAAAAAGCATCATATAAACTCACAAATTAGGGGCAAATTAGGATATATAACTATCCTAATTGATAGCAAATTTATAGAAAATCATGAAAAATGTAAAATATGTATGTTTGAAAAGGAACTAAAGCTAACATGAGAAAAAGAATTCCAAAGAAATGAAAATTATTTTGGCAATGTAGGTATTCCTATTCACTGCCTACGCATTCTATACAATAAAGAATTCTGCTGGGTGCTGTGGCTCATGCCTGTAATCCTAGCTACTGGGAAGGCTAAGTCAAGAAGGTTGCTTGAGTCCAGGAGTTCAAGACCAGCTTGAGTAACATAGTAAGACCCCGACTCTACTAAAATAATAATTTTAAAAATCCTACTTCACAGTCCATAATCAGTGACATGGGAGGTGGAAAAGTCTTAAAATCCCTCAAGAGGAAAAACTGTGGCCAACACAATTCATAGTTAAAAGATCAACCTGATATTGCTCACAAAGTTCTAAGTATTCTTTTAGATGTTTATGTGAATGCATTAATAATATTCTATTATTTGCCTTTGTCCAGTTCAGATAGTTTTCTTGCTCTTATCAGCATTGATAAGATGAAGTAAATCAGATGTGAGAGAAAGCACGGGAACCCATCATCTGTGCCTCAGCCACCGATTGTTCTCCTCTGGCTGTGCTCATCTTGCCAGTCTGCTGGCTCACAAAGGCCCCAGCTTTGATGTCAGTCTGACTGTTTGACAAAGCCAGTTGCAGATGCTCTTCATGGAGACAGCAGATTACAGACAATACCATGCTAAAGAAATGCTATCGTCTAGCCATGTATACACTGAAAGTTATCTCAGTGTATACATGGGATATGCTTCTTTCAAGAAGTCACAGAAATGAGGCAACTGTGGAATGAATGACAGGCATCTATTTATCCAAGTTACAAAATCTCCCTGAGAAAGACGAAATTTATCAGCAACAGCTAAGTAACAATTGTGTATGATGTGAAAGTCTTATTGATTCATTTTTTTAGGTGTAGCTGGAGAGACTAATGATGCATTGCAGCAGCCAAATATTCTCCACTTTCCCCCAGAACACTTTCAGCTTTTGAAAGTGAGCAGCAATAATATAATCACACTGTTAACTTTCAAGGATGCGATACAAATCTTAAAAACACATTTTGATCTTGTTATCCCTGTGACTTAGGAAGAGATTCTGATTTCACTTTTGTGAATACCTATGGCCATTAAATTCCATTTTAACAAATTTAGCTTAAAGTAATCTTTACTACTAGATACATATGGTTTCAGGTTACCATGAGGTACAAAGTTCTTCTCTTTACAATTTGAAATTATACTATCAGAATTCAGCAAATGACTTTGTTGATGTCAGAAGAATACACTTTGAGTTTTATCCTCATGTTTCTATCGGGACACTGCACACTGGTCAAGTCTCTCTGTCTCAGCAGCCCTGGAAACATCAAATAAAATGACATCTCTGTCCAGTCACATTTTTTTCAGGCTTCGACTTGAAAATCTTAGTCTTTGTCTCTTAAAAGTTAATGAATAAAATGAAATCTCTTACTTAGCTTTACTTTCCTTTAAAAACTGAAAGAAGATATACTTATCTTTGAGACCCAGACAATCTCATACTCAGAGTGACATCATTCTAGGGCTGTCTTCAGGCTTCTCATGACCTTTCATCCTTCCAAACACTCCTTTTGTCATTCAGACTTGAGAGCTTCCCACATTCCAAGTTTATTTATTTACCTTCATTAGACACAGTCTCCAAAACCCTTTTCTTGTTCAAATTAAACAGCTATGGTTTTAATTCTGGTTTGGAAAAGTACGAATAGTCTACTATATTTTGACTTTCATTTTGCTTTGGACAATTACAACAATAACTCTTAAATTTACTGAGTGCATATCTGTCACCATTCAATATATGCCTATCATTTCCTGCTTGATGTAAAACCAATAAAATGGGATAATTCAAAGAAGTTCCTTAAAAACAAGGCAAGTATTCGGTTAGATCTGTTCTCAAATGTGATTCATCAAGTTCAAACAGGCCATCAAGTTCAGAGGGCCTATTCAGTAGCAGAATTCTCCAGAAAATGCAGATTAGCCCCTAGTCACTAGCAAATTATCCAGCATTGACTAGGATAGCCACTGTAATTATACTTTAATTACCAACTCCTAATACAACTTATAAGACAAAATGTTTTAGATTTTTTTCTAATTAAAAATAGTAGTCAACAAAATTTAATGATTACAGGAAATCATTACACAGAAAGTTCCCTGTAATTTTCCCACCCTGGAAAATCATTATCAACAATTTGATACCAAATTACCCCTCTCAACATATTCTTATTTATACTTATAACAAGAAAAAAAACTACATACAGTATTTTTAAGAAAAATGTGATATGTATTCTAATTTGTTATCTGTCTCCTCATATTCTATCACATTTAGGTATCTTTCTGTGTGTTTCAGAAGAGAACTAAGTTCTAAAATTCATTTTGGGAAAACAAAAACCTCATTTTTTGAATGTTCCCTTTTAGTAATATCTTGTCTAAATCCAAATATCTACCAATTGTAGTAAACTCAAATGGAAAACAAGAAGATATTGTTGAGTATCTAATGCTCCTTAAAGCATAGCATTTTCCAAAGTCACAAAGTATATCAAGAAATCCACGAATTCTATCATTACTACACATGGCCAGATGGCAGAGGTGGTTGTATGGATCTCTGCATATCTGAATCCTCAAGGTTTCAATATGAAGTCATGAAGAATAATTGTTCTCTGGCTCTCTTTCTACATCCATTCTTTTCACCCCTCACTCTCTTCTTCCTTATGCCTATCTTAGCATCCAGATTTTTTTTTCTATGAACATATTGCATGACATTTTTAATTTTAGAAGTTTGAATTTGTTACAAGAGATTATCATTTACTCTACAGTAAGAGTAAACAAATGTATTGTGAGCTGTTTTCAACTCATCTAATTGTTTTTTTAATGAAGAATGTGGACACATGAAACATGCTTGCCTTCAGATGATATGCAAATTTACATAATATCTATCTTGTCTAAGTCTTCTTTCTATTTTTCTGTCTTTCTCTCCCTTCCTTCTCTCACTGCAGTAAGCAGGGCATAAGGGCAGCTGGAACATGTGGTCTTTTATTTGATCAAAGGTAATGATCAACCAAGCCAGAGGAAGGTAGGTCAGCTTTCCTAGTTCACCTGCTAAATAGAATCTTTTTACATTCTCTCCAATTGTGAGTCCATCTGTGCCACCATCAAGAAAAAAAAATCTACAGAAATGGAGTAGCTACAATAGGAACTGAACATTTAAAGATGCTTTGAATATGCATGTGTAGAAACTGCCATTCTGTGAATGGAAATGTGTGCTTAGCTGATTTCTTTTCATCTAAAGAGCCATAGCGTGTCTTTTTGCTGTTTGTTTGCTTATTTTATTTTTTATTTTCTTGTCCTACTACATTATTTTTGTCATTTTATTTCTCCTTTTTCTTCTTTAAATTTTAAGAGAGGACACAAATCTCAATTTTATGCCAAGAAACTCCAAAACATGCACATATACTTTGCAGTAGATATATGCTAATCATCGTTTCCAGGACAAAGGTTCTTCATTTGTGAAGAAAAATGACAAGAGAGGAAATTCATTTCAGGTTTCCATAGGTGTTTGCTCTACTAATATGCTTCTTTCTGCACTTGAAGAAAATTTTTATAGTGTCTTAGAGTCTCTACGAATCCTATTTTTCAAATAGAAGTCATTCAAATGATGTTAATACATCAGATCCAAGTTTCTGATGTGAAAAACTATAAACAACAATGAACTTCCAGGTCATTTTGATGGTACAAGCACCTTTCTTGCCCATGTCTCATTCTTTGCACTGTTTCTGAGGCTCAGAACTCAGATTTTAAATGTTAGTAGCGTTCTCTGTACAGAAAAGTGCCAGAAAATAAAATGAAGCAAAGCTGCTAGTGACTGTTGGCTCTATAAACTATGTTCCCACCCCTCAGAATAATAGTCCCTAGTGCTTAGCAATACTTGTTGGTTGGTATTTTGATGGATCATTTCAGAAAAGGCTTCTAGAATGACTGCTGAAAGGTAGTGATAGTTGGCCATGGAGTAGGGGCAGAGGATAAAGAATTGTCATATCAGCCATAGACTTCAAGAGGCAAAGATGGGAAAAGAAAAAAAAGGAGATGGTCATTGATAGAAAGTATGATTATTTGAAGAATGAGGAAAAGCTAGAACTGAGTAATCTAAGGAAGTCACGTGTCCTTCTGACAAGGCTGCTTTCATGCAATTTTCACATTGTGACCATTTTAAATTTCACATACATTAATGAAATTAAAATGACAAAGCACTAAACTTTCAGCTTATAAAAATGATCATGTAATAGCTGGACACCTTCATGCATTTCTAAACCTCACTCAGTCCTCCAGGTTACTCCTGGGGGTATATGAGTGAATCTGAGAAGTGGGCTGGGGGTTAGCAATGGAGGAAATGCACCTACTGTGCATTTCACTAGGTAATTAAAAAGCCAAAAATTTAAGATCTACCTTTAGACTAGCCTAAATGTGTCTGTGCCTTATTGCTGTATCAGAACTTCCTGCTTCACCAGAAAAGTAATATATCTTTGTGTGTTCTCTGTATACATGTGTATAGTACAGTGGCCTTAATCCTACCCTAATTCAATGCAGGCAGTCAGAAAGTTTTATGAGATGTGTGCATAACTTGAATTTTGTAGAAATCTCCACCTTATGAAGATTTTTGTGGCTGTTTCACTTTAATAACAGGGCTTGCTTTTGGGCAAGGAATACCAAATCATTAGGGGGGATACACAACTGATTAGGTCACTTGATTGCCGATATAGCAATTAAAAAGCACACAACCAAATAGAGAAATACTTCTGGTGTAGATTCTGCTTTCACTCACCAATCACCAAGGCTATCCCATTTTTCTTCTTCAAGGATTTTGAGGGAGGGCTTGGAAGAATAATGCTCATAAATGGATAAGTAGTGTTGCAGATGCTACCAAGGAATCTGATGGAATAGATGGTGAATAGCATGTGAATAGAGAGTGCCATGGGAAGGCAGTGAGAAGAAAAATATTAGCAAGTCCTGCTGATGCAACCAAAGATACTGCTTCCTGTCTGCCACCCCATCCACTACCTCTGTCTCTCTTATACCTTCAATGCCTTCCTCTGCCAGTTGTTTCTCTGTAGTTCATAAGCATGCTTAAATTTCTTCCAGTCAAAAAACAAAATAAAACATCCCTCTCTTAACCCTGTAGCCCATGTTCTCAAGTGCAAGAAGTTCAGAAAAAGTTTTTAACGAGTGTTCTATACTCATTTGTCTACCTTTTCTCACTTCCTATTTACATTTAAATTTGCATACATTTGGATTGAGTAATCTAAACTCATACAAACTGGCTTTTGCTCAAACTGCCCTAGCAAAGCCCATCAATCTTTATATTGCCAAGCCTAATAGATATTTTTCAAACTTTTTATGGAGCATCTATGTTTTGTTTACCACTATTGACAAGCACATATTTTTGAAACTCTCCACATCCTTGACTTCAAGTTATAACTGTCCTCTTTTTCTTCTCCCAGTTCTGGCCCTCAGTCTCTATAAGGATGCCTTCTCTGTGTCTCCTCTTTAAAAAGAAAAGTTTCTCAGGGATCTTCTTTTGGTTCACCGCTCTGGCCAGTCTATGTACTCTCCCTAGGCAAAGAACTTTACTACTTACAGTTTTAACTAACACCTTATCTTAATGACCATCAAGTGCATACTTTCAACCTTTATAGTTCCCCTGAGTTCCAGACTGGAAATAAGCCAGTCCAGGCATGACCTCAAAGAAACCACAAAACTGTGTGAAATCATCATGTCTCTCGTCGCTCTTCACCAGAATGTCTCCGACAGAAGGACTACACTTCCTATAGTTCTTACTCAATTATCGGCCTCACCACATACCTAGTCTCCAGATCAGCTCTTTTCTTTCCTGTCTCTCTTACTACCATTTCCCTCCCCAGCATTCAATTATTAAGTATTTTAAACCTATCAAATTCATCACAAGAGTTGAAGCCTTAACCATCTTTTACCTGCAGTATTGCAGTATCATCTTCACCTATTATAAAAATTATAATAGCCTAAGGGATTCCAGGTAATACATACAGATTTTATGTGTTGCATAGGGTTTTCTCCCGTGAGTTATTTGTACTTCACCAACAAACACAAACACAAGACCTGCCTCAGAAAAACCAGTTCAAGTTGGTTTTTCTGTAGGTTTTCTCCTTAATATAACAGAAAAGTATTTGCTTGTTGGAGGTTATTTGCACTGACCGTGAGCAGAAATTTGGATTTTATACCTTGGGAAGGGATGTTGAAGATGTGTCTGAACCATTCCTTTTATCTAAGGGAATGCATGATAAATCTAGCTTTGAAAGCAGAAGGCAGACAAGTTGCTAGGCTATTGAGAGGTGTGTTTACATGAAGAAATAATTTCAAGGGAGGAAGCCATGTGTTTATACCTCATCAATATTAACTGAACTTGAAATAATGAATTGTGACATTGCCCTTGATAGTGGATCAAATCACGACCTCCATAGTGCCTGAATTTCACTAAGCATGGTTGCTTAATGCTATTTCCCCTCACTTAAATTTTACTTGCTCATGTTCTCCATTGTGCATTGTGTTCATCATCTCTTACCTAGACTGTTGCCATATTCTCACACATCTACCTGTCTCCAAAGATAAGCCCACAGTTAATTTGAGTGCAAATGGATGTTCATCTTTCAAAAGGTCTTTTTTTGGAGAGGGGGGCGGCGAATTTAGGCCAACAAGGTTATTTTGCTATGTCTACCCTAAAACTATCAAAAAGCAGGTTCTTCTGACATTCATCATGAATAGAAATATATTAATAGAGTTGTTGTAAGGACTAGAGGAATACATCCATTGATCAATATTATTAATATTTTGGAAAGAATTCCCATTTAAGAATATTTAAACAATTTAATTATCCCCTAAGAATTTCACTTTGAACAGTTTTAGTGTGGCAACCCTTTTCCCTATCTCCAAAGTAGGCAGATAAAAATCACTGTGGGGATGTAGTCCTACCCTAGGGATGCCAACTTCCAGACATGCTAATAGGTGGCCAGGGTGTTATACTGGTTTTGTCTCCTGGACATAAGACATGCTGAAAATACATAAAAAATTTAGCTCATCACCTGGATGACTCCTTATGTTAAAAAAAATCAACTCTGTGTATTTATATGTTGGGGCTCAATAAATAAAATGTGGGGATTGAAGGATCTTCTAAACCATATTATTTCCAATGAACCAGGAAATCACTACATTTATATATTTTTAAGTCTAGAAACCACTTAAATATCCAACAGTAGGGAATTGGTTAAGTAAGTTATAAATATCCATATTTAGAAACTCTACACAGCTACCAAAATTTTCTGTCGAAGGAAGCTAGTTAATATAGAAAAAAAGGTTCACATATAATACATAAGTGTAAACCAATATGCATAGAATCATGTTGTTAAATCATATGTGCACATAGGCTTATATGTGTATGTGTGTAAAATTATGTTTTATAGTTTTTACTTATGAGAGGTCAGTTTATGCATTTCTAAGCATCTTTTGCTTTTGTATTATAGTTAGAAAAAATATGTATTTTGTCAAAGGAAAAACAGTCTTCTCCATCTTCTCTAACAAAACATTTATTACTGACTAATTAGCCTCCCTGGAGATATAAACGTTTGCTAATGAGACTTAAATAACCCCTTAACTTCAATAGCATATATTTTACTCCACTTACTGCTGTACTGTTCAACTAATATCAATGGGTAAATTATATTTGAATTTTTGAAACTGAATAGGATCTCTTTTCTTATGGCTTATTTTTATTTTACCTTAATAAATCATTATGAAATATTTTAAGTTACCAAAAGTACACAGAAAAATATAATAGATATCAATGTATCCATCATCGTACCTGAACAAGTATGTAACATTTTGTTATATTTGCTTTGCATCTTTTTAAAAATGAAACCAAGTCTTTCACATACAAATGGACCCTCATCCAATCTCATCCCCCTGCCTCCTTTCCCAAAGGTAATCATGTACTGAAAATAATACATATAACTATACATACCTCCCAATCACATATTTATATTTTCATCACATATGTATGTTTATAAACAATAGTTTTATTTTATGGTTTTATTTTTAAATTTATATAAATACTGGACTTTAATCTTTTGAACTGGACTTCCACTCAACATGATCTTTTCAAAATTTATTCCTAATATGTAGAGATTTCATTAATTTTGCCTCAAGTATAGTATTCCATTGGATGAACACTTACTCATTTTGAAAATCCATCCGTTGATGGTCATTTAAGATGTTCTAATTTTTTGCTTTGAGAATACAGTGAACATCCTATCATCTGTCTCCTTGAGCAAAAGTACAATCATTTATTTAGGATGTACACTTGGGTTTCGTGACTTACAAAGGCATCTTCCAGTTCTCCCCAATCAATCAATCAATCAATTACTGCATTAATCAATATTTGCTGAGAGCGTAGTCTATGAAAATAAATAACTAGACATTAGTTCTTAGAACCCCCTTGTGTTTCAACCCTGCCGTTGATTCAAAATAAAATCAAATCTAAAGACAAAAAGTAAGTAGACAAAATTTATGTGCATATATAACACAACTTTCTTCCCCAAGGAGTTTTAGATTGGTAATTATGCCATGGCAAGTCCAGCCTCCGTTAAGTTTCTATACTTTGTGCAATTCTAGTCCCATTAGATGACAATGATTGTTGTCTAGACTGTCTCTGGCCTCAAGATGTTATTTGGTGCACAGCATCTTGAGTGATGAACCCAAAGGTGACTACTCTTATTCTGAGTTTAATGGTGTTTTCTTGCAATTTTAATTAATCATGTATTTATTGCAGGATTATATCAATAAACCTGAAAATTGCCTCAGCCATCCCAGAGTATATAGTCTAGTTCAGGATACAGAAAAATAACATAGCATAAGTGCCATATTGGGGAAGGACCTAATGGGAGCTTATGGGAGGAACACTAACCTGGAGTTTAGAGTTTCAGGAGAGACTTCTTTGGGAACAAGACACCTATACCGGAAGATTAAAAAATCAGCCAAGCACAAGAGGGGCAGAAGAGAGAGTTTATTAAATTCCTGTGTATTAATTTTCTTATCTCAGCCTTTGCCTCAATTAAGTCTCGATATACCTTTATGTCATGGGGGTCTATCAAGGTATTTCCTCAGCTTTTCAATATCACTTTGTCACAAATTAAAGAGACTGAGAATTGAGCCAGAAACGTCCATTAAATAAGGTTTCTTTCAATGTTGTTTGTGTCAAATGCTAATGTCCTGAAATATTTAAAGCCATTAAAGCTATTGATTTTTATAAGCAATTTCATCTCTATTGATCCTTTATCATTATATTCCTACACTTTCTACTCTGACAACAAAACACAAAGGAAATCCCAGTACCTACGGTGATTATTTTTGCCATCTAAAAATTCTATAAGCCTTCCAATTGCAGATGAAGTCCTCAAAAGTGTATACATTATAATGATCAATACTAGCTCCAGGCAGGAAAAGTGAAAAAACCTTAGACTCATACAGACGAGAGTGGGCATCGTTCCGAGGTCAAAGAGGAGCAGGTGAGGAATCTTGAGCAGAGGTGTATTTTGTATTTAAGAAAGATCTCTCCAGATACGATGGAGAAACTGATTGAATTGGGCTAATATCACAGTCCTGACAAGAAGAGTTTGCACTGGGTTGTACACGAAGATAAAGAGAATGAGAGGGCTCAAGAAGATAATTAGAAGGAAAAGACTGACCAGAAGAGGGGGCAATGAGGGAGCATTTAGGATAATTCCCAGGTTTCTGGCTTTTGTGGCACTATAACAAGGAGATAAATACATGGTCAGAATACAACAAGAATGAAGCAAATGGCTCCAAGTCTGTACACACCGAACTTCACGGGCCTGGGGGACATTTTGGGGGAGATTTTCAATTGACAGTTGGATGTACAGCTTAGTGGCCTGGGAGACTGGCCTTTTGACTAGCGTGAAGGTCTTCCTTATAATAATAAGGAAGAGATCAGAAAGCACCTTGTCCCTAAGCAGTTATGAAGACATTAGAAATGTCCAATTCATTAATAATTTTTTGTTATAAATTTAATCACATGTGCTTGTAGAACTATTAATTTAAATGACTTTTAAGGAAGAAAAATTAATCCATGAAAAATACTTTTTTATAATAGAAATTTTCACGGACAAATTTCATGTTTTTATGACTTTATTGCAGGTCTGTGAAAACAAATACAATTAGACTGAAATAAACATTGACAATTCTCCTGTAGAATTACTGATTAATAGAGAAAGAATTTGTATGATTGTATGAAACCAGTAATATATGTATAAAAACAAATTGTTTTAAAATATTGCTTGTAATCTTATTTTCATATCTAACAATTCAGACCATATTGTTATCCCATGAGTATCACCTCTATGAAACCACATTGGAGTAGTTAATGATTTACTACATTTTGCTTTTTTCCCTTTACTTTTACATAATAAATTCTTATTTAATTGGCACTGGCCTACGTTATCTTACTAGACAACTCTAGCAATAGAGCAGTTCATGTTACACATAAAGACATAAAAGAACGGTCTGCATTGCTTTTACTACTGCTACTGATTTCATGGGATTTGAAGAATAATAATGATAATTAGCAACCATTGCTATTTATTGAGCCTGTACAACGTGTCAAGAACCATCATGCTATATGGCTTAATTAATTCTCACAAAAACCTTCTTTGATAAGTACTATTATTAAACCCATTTTACAGATGAGAAAAATGGTTCTCTGAGAAGTTATCTAAATCATCACACAAATAATGTGGTTAAAAACACAGATCCATCTGACTCTGTGGTAAGAGTTTTAAAATTATACATATTTGGTCTCTACCTTAAACTCATATTTTAGCTAATTCTGTCTTTATATTTTAATATTATATTTTAATAGAAACTTGAATAGCCACTTCAGTGCTATGACACAGAGATGAGTACGGGAATCTTGAAGAGATGTCTTTCCTGGGAAAGCTTGAGACTTGCCTACATCATCCTGACACATCTTAGTGCCTGCTGCACCCCCATCTGACTCTCAAATCAAGGAGCCCAAGAAAAGCTATACTGGACTTTCACTAGGTCAAGCCATCTAGCACTGAAGCATGGACCAAAGACAAGCAATTCTTTCTGGTTTCTAGGATTAATAGTTAGTTCTTGGCCACTGTTCCCATATACTCCCTGGGGAACATCAGTATGTAAGAGAACCACTGATATGCTAAGGGGTTATCTTTCATCCGAGGTTCAATATTCCCCCGGAAGACTTTGTTCTGCTGGCTTGATGTCCAAGTGTCTCAAATTCCCCAGACAACTGAATATCCCGCTTCCTGTAAAAATGCTGACATCAGGTGTCACCTTCAGGCACATCTTCTAGGTGAGTCTTCCTTTGGGGAGTAGAAAGTCAAAATGGGCACAATACATTGTACAGGGGTCCAGACAATAAGAAACACGTGGAAAACGGCATGTGTGTAGCAGGCAGGGGTAGCAGATAGTACAAATATATTACCCCTGAAATTCACAGGCAAGAAATGTTGCCATTTTTAATATAAAAATATTATATGAAAAAACATGAAAAGTTTTATTTTTTCATAGAGGTCATGTGTAAAGCATTAATAAGCTAAAGTACACAAAGCCAAATGACAAAGCTTGATTAACAAACTGCCCACAAAGCTCATATTTGCCTCAGTGTGTTTAAAGATGCTTGAAGGCTGTAAATCTCTGACCCTTATTCTGACTATTGATTGATAAGAACTCCACCCTTGTTTTTAACTAATAAAAACAATGGTTTCTCTTTACTTTAGAGCGGGTATCATATTGGGTAGTTAATTTTTCACTTTTGTAAGTGTGTTTCTCACCCAAATCTTACTTGGAGGCTCTACATCTATTTTGAGAAAGGAGGTCAAGTCACTACATCACACTGAAAAATCTTGGTTTCGACCTCTTCACCTTTAGTTCTCTTCAATTTTAGGGTTAAAATCAATCATGCCAGAAATAAAGGAAAACACCATTTAAAAGAATTCACATACTTTTTCCTCTTCTTGTTATCTAAGTGTGTTTTTCAAGAAAGGATGTCTGGGATTAAGTTTGTAGGGGAAAAGAATAGAAAATTCTACTAAACTTGTTTATATTGGCTGAAATCATTTTTAAAAGAGATCCAATTTGAAACTTCCACAAAAAAACTCATGAGATTAATTTTCTTGATTAAGTGTTGTCTTTGGACACATAAAAGGGACTTACAGCCTATTAAATAATTTTTAACTGTGAAATCTAGGAGAGCAAGGCTGTTCTCATCATGAAAATGTTTCAGCATTTCAGTTTATAAAAATCTCAGGCATTCTTACCAGCCTCTTCTAATTCTTTATAGATCTTCACAATCACACAAGTTTCTCACATTTAACAATAAATCGCTAAGATCACCATTACAGTTTGAAAGCCTCAGTAGTCGCTCTCCCGACTCGTTCTGGCCGCTCTCCCTAGCTCTCTGTGATCTGCCACATCTTTTCAACTTTGATGACCAGTCTTTAGTTCCTCACATGTTGGATTCTTGTCCTGAACAAGCGGTTCTGCTGCTCGCCACCACTCTTTCTCCACCAGAAAGTTTCTCCCCATCACCACCCACTTCCTACTCATGCTTCAGGTCTCAGATTAGACGTTGCTTCTTCCAAGAAGCTTCCCTGACCAGCTATCCCCGCCCTATACCTTGTCCTGCACACACCTGCATGAGCCTAACTCTTGTTATCATTTCTCTCAGCAGCCTTCACTTTTCACATTTTCAATTAATTATTTCTTAATTGTAATTAATTGTGCAAATGTTTAGATTATTGTCTGCCCTCCCTCATAACTATTAGCTTCATGAGGGAAGAAATCTTGTCTGTTCTTGTTATCACCAGTGTGAGCAGACATATTCATTAAAATGTGGGATAAAAGGGACTATTTCTTGGAACTTTCAACACATTCATTTCTTAAAACTTAACCAACCTGAGATCACTACAACGTTATCTCATTACAATATTCATGCATTGGCTTTTCTAATTCTGTTATTTATTTATTATTTTTTGAGGCAGTCTCACTCTGAAGCCGAGGCTGGAGTGAAGTGGTGCAATTCCGACTCACTGCAATCTCTGCCTCCTGGGCTGAAGCCATCCTCCCACCTCAGTCTCCCAAGTAGCTGGGATTGCAGGCGCCACCAGGGCCGGCTAATTTTTGTATTTTTAGTAGGGACCATGTTTCACCGTGTTTGCCAGGCTGGTCTTGAACCCCTAACTTCAAGTGATTCATTCGCCTGCTTCAGCCTTCCAAAGTGCTGGGATTACAGGTGTGAACCACCACACCCGGCTATTTGTCTAGTTTTGAGAGGGGGTCTTGCTCTGTCACCCAGGCTGGAGTGCAGTGGCATAATGTTGGCTCACTGCAGCCTTGACCTCCTGGGCTCAAGTGATCATCCTGCTTCATCCTCCTGAGTAGCTCAACTACAGGTATGCATGTGGCTGACTTTTTTTATTTTTTGTAGAGACAAGGTCTCACTATGTTGCCCACGCTGGTCTCAAACTCCGGGCATCAAGCAATCCTCCTGCCTCAGCCTCACAATATGATAGGATTACAGGCATGAGCCACTGTGTCCAGCCTAATTCCGTTTTTTAAAAAGAAAGAAAATAGGCCGGGCGCGGTGGCTCACGCCTGTAATCCCAGCACTTTGGGAGGCCGAGGCGGGCGGATCACGAGGTCAGGAGATCGAGACCATCCTGGCTAACACGGTAAAACCCCGTCATCCCTACCAAAAATACAAAAAAATTAGCCAGGCGTGGTGGCGGGCGCCTGTAGTCCCAGCTACTCGGAAGGCTGAGGCAGGAGAATGGCGTGAACCCGGGAGGCGGAGCTTTCAGTGAGCCGAGATCGCACCACTGCACTCCAGCCTGGGCGACAGAGTGAGACTCCATCTCAAAAAAAAAAAAAAAAAAAAAAAGAAAGAAAGAAAGAAAATGATACTCAAGCAACTGATAGATTTTAAACATTGATATCAAATGAAATATTTGTAAATAGTGAGATAATGTTTTTAATAGGAACAAGAATCTAGAGTTATTTTACATTTATATGTCCAAAGCTTCCCATGTCATTGGATGGACAGAGTCTTCTACTACAACCTCATCATATGACAAGTAAAAGGGTCAAACTAACAAGGGGTCAATTTTATCCTCATAAACTTCGCATGAATATTTTTGAAAATATAGATTTTTAAAGAGAGATTTGGGAAAAATCAGAGACCTCTCCAGCTGGATTAGATTCTTTAAAAAACTAAGTAAAAATTGATGTTGCTTGTTGTGGAAAATAAATTGTTTTTATAATAGAAAACATTTCTATGATGGTATTATATAGCCAAGATCAGTGAAAAGCAAACTGTATTTATAAGGTTTTGATATTAGAGAACTAATTAAAGCCTTTTATCAGTAAGAACACAGAGACCTTATTTTACGGTTAAATGTCTCAAAATTAGTGAATAGATCATTCCTCAGAGTCTGCTTACAACTACCAATCTTTTCCAGTCATTGCTAATGCCTATAATCAAGGAATAACTACAATTTATTTTCTTTTCATTTAATCAGTGTGCTTTTGAAATGGACAGGTTGTGTTCTCTGCCATTTACAAACTCAAGGATTTAATTTAAAATTCAATAATTGAATGAGATGGTATAATAACCTTTTATATAAATTCATCATTTCTTATCTTTCCCAAAGAACAAAATGTCCTGTATGCCATAATCACTACTGTTTACTTTTCTGGAAGGTTTTTGTATAAATTTCTATATCTCACCCTGGATTGTAAATCCATCCTCAAAATACAGCGTGAACAGTTTACTACTCCAGGCCTTACAAGAGCTCATAGCTGCTATTGTAACATTTGTATGGCAATTAATTTCACTCCCTGTTATAAAGAAACCGAAGTCCCTGTAATATTCCTTTCCAGGGAGTTCAGACATATCACTCTCATTTGCGTCCTGCTTTTTAAAAAAGTTAGAACTTCGGGTTTGGGTTTCACAAGATGTATCTCAAAGGTTTTCCTCCCCTACCCCCTCCCCTCCACTCCCCTCCTTTTTATTCCCCTCCCCTCCTTCTCTTGCCTCCTCTCTCTCTCTCTCTCTCTCTCTCTCTCTCTCTCTCTCTCTCTTCTCTTGTCTCCTTTTTGGAGGGGTAAGGAAGGAAAATGCATTACCTAGGCTGACTTTCAAGAATTGACAGTATTTTTTTGTCCTATTTTAATGGACTGCATTTGTATAAGAAGAGATTTATTTGTTGAAAAATAAAATCAGTGAACCACTAATGTATTATTTATCAAAATTTTCTACAGAAGAGGAAACATACTGTAGTATACCTGGTAGTATAGTTAAAGCAGCTGTACTTTGAGTGACTATACAAAGACCACGTCCATTTAAGTTTCCAAGGGCAAACTCAAGTAAGTGGGCAGAAGAGAACTGGGCATTGTTTATCATTGGTCAAGATGGCACAGCTGCAGCTCTGGTTTCTACTGCAGGTCTGGGAAGCTGTCATTTCAGTGTCCCATTAGAGGAGGCCAACCAAAGGGGGCCAACCATTGCTGCCCAGGGCCCTACTCACAACTCAGCTTCTCTCTACCTCTGCTTTTCTCTGTCTCCCTCTCCCAGCCTTACTCTTCTGCCTGTTTTTTTCTCTAGGCTATGTGTGAGTTTTGCAGTCACAGTTCCTGAGGATGTTTTTTTTATAATTTTTTTTTTAAGTTCCAGGGTACATTTGCAGGACGTGCAGTTTTGTTACATAGGTAAACATGTGCCATGGTTGTTTGCTGCACTTATCAACCCATCACCTAGGTATTAAGCCCAGCATGCATTAGCTCTTTTCCCTAATGCTCTCCCCTCCTTGCCCTTCCCCAACAGACCCCAGAAAGTGTTGTTCCCTTCCCTGTGTCCATGTGTTCTCATTGTTCAGCTCCCACTTATACATGATAACATGCAGTGTTTGGTTTTCTCTTCCTGCATTAGTTTGCTAAGTATAATGGCTTCCAGCTTCATCCATGTCCCTGCAAAGGATATGATCTCATTCCTTTTTATGGCTGCACAGTATTCCATGGTGTATATGTACCACATTTTCTTTATCCAATCTTTCATTTATGGGCATTTGGGTTGATTCCATGTCTTTGCTATTGTGAATAGTGTTGCAATGAACATATGCATGTATCTTTATAATAGAATGATTTATATTCCTTTGGGTATATACCCAGTAATAGGATTGCTGGCTCAAATGGTATTTCTGGTTCTAAGTCTCTGAGGAATTGCCACACTGTCTTCCACAATGGTCGAACTAATTTCCCAACAATATAAAAGTGTTGCTATTTCTCTGCAACCTCACCAGCATCTGAGATTATCTGATTGGATTAGTTAGATGTTAGATAATATGAAGCGTCATTATTGGGCAAAGCTTTGTGGCAACCACCTCATAGCCTACTGGTCTGCCTTCATTTCCTTATAGAAGCATTATTGGCTTTTGAAGTAAGACAATTCCTCATTGTGCAAATCTGACCCACACATTGCAGGACATTCACATGCATGGTCCTGGCACTAAATGCCAGTGTGCCTTCCCTGTTTCGGCGTTGTGATAATCATCCCCCCTCCATTTCCAAAATAGGCTCTGGGCATGTTAGACCTTGAGGGTCTCCTGGATTCTTCTTTGAAAGGGGAACAAAGAGAAAGGATTTTACATTACAACTATAATGGGAATTTAGCTTAAATTTTTGTTTAAATATTCTGACCTGAAAGCATGCTTGGGAACATATAACTGATGAGAGTTCTAATTTTTCTTAGTGCAACACTACCTGCAGAGAGGAAAATAAACCAGGTCCATTGTGATATGTGATTCTATGTTAATGACATAGCTGGGTTTTAAGTTGTTGTAAAACAGGTTCTTGGTCTCTAAATTCTATTAAGAATTTACTGAAGCCAGGATTGAAGTGGCTCATTCCTGTAATCCCAGAACTTCAGGAGGCTGAGGCAGGGGGTCACTTGAACTCAGGAGTTTTGGGAGGATCACTTGAGCCTAGAAAGCCTAGGCTGCAGTGAGCTGTGATCGCCCACTGCACTCGAGCTGGGAGACAGTGAGACCCCGTCTAAAAAAAAAAAAAAAATCTACTGAGTGAATTGGAGCATTCATTTGTCAATAGGTCTTTTATCTATAGCAGCCACCACACCGTAACATAACATTTGAAAAATACTACTCGAGGACTGAGTTATAGGTCTGGTACGGTGGCTTATGCCTGTAATCCCAGCACTTTGTGAGGCAGGAGGATCACTTGAGCCCAGAAGTTCAGGACCCATCTGGGTAACATAGAGAGACCCCCATCTCTACAAAAAGTTTAAAAATTGAAAAAGAAAATAAAATAATTGAATTGTAAAGCAAGCATTTTTTGAATTCTGATTTCTAACCTTAATTTTGCATTTCACATAAGCATTAGCTGAAACAGGCCACTTTATAATTGATACTTCACAACTTCTAAAAACTACTTGAGGGATAATATACTTGCTTTTGGAAACAGAAACACTAAAACGCTAGGCAAGATCCTTTAACCTATTAAAATTAACAAGAATATCAGAAAATGCCTTGAGCACCCAGGCTTAGATCCATGAAGGAAACCATTTTTAAATGATGAGTGTAACTGAAGGGCAGAGAGGTATTATATTGTCTCATGCTCCTTCTAGGTAAAATTAAAGATGTTGTCACCTTTAATTCAAGGAGAACTAGCACTGCCTCTCCAGAGGCATTTGAAAAAATGTGAGGTGTTTTTGGTTGTCACAGTGACTGGGAAAGGGAGTTCTATTGAGATTTAGTGTTTGAGAGCCAGGGATATAAATCTTGTGCAATATGCAGAACAGTGAGATAAAAGAACTGTCCTGCCTGAAAGCCAATAGTGCCTGCATGGAGAAACACTGTTATGCATTTAACAGAGATAAACTCAAGTCCCACTGTCTGGCAAAAAGAGCAAGTTAGTCATCTGTCTCTTGACGTCAAGATTGAGCACCTTGTTATCAGCCAGGTGCAAATGAGACCCAGAGATGCTGTTCACATGTCTTGTAAGCTTCTCCCTGCTCTGGGTCATTTTCTCTCGTTTACAAAAAGGGCATCAATATATGGCAAATTATTTACACTGCAATGCTTTACAAATAGGGTAGGGAAATCCTTTGCAAACAGGGTTAGAGAAAATCCTTAAATACATTCTTTTGAAATGATGCTTCTTTCTCTCTCCCTGATCTCATTCCCTCTGCTTCCAAGTATTCTCTGTGTTTATCCACCGGACATCTAGATGAGAGAAACAACCTCCAAATAGCCCCCTTTTCAGACTAATTTCTCCGCTATCCAATTCAGCCCCTCTCTCCAACTAGTGTTAGATATTCCCTAAACATCACTTTCCCCACGTTGCTTTTCTACTCAAAAATCCTCTAGGAGCTTCTATTTTCTATCACATTACCCCTACATTGTTACACAAAAATGTATAAGGTATGACAGTGTCTTTCCCATCTTTGTATCTTCCATGTTGTTATATAATGAAGTGTCTGACACATAGAGGCTGAACATGTATTTAATTAGTATACATTAAAATTTTGGTTAACTTTCAAGACTTATGGCCAAACGCTTTTTAAAGCTGTTTTGTTTACTACTTAATTCCAAGTCTTTATTAATTTTCTCCTCTGTATTTCTACAATATTTCTAGATCAAAGAATAGAACATTTGCTATTCTTTGTGATTTGTTACTGCTATAATCTTTTTCTGTTCAATTAATTAAATTATAAACTGCATACTGTTGAACATACAACTAAGCAAATGGTAGCAATACTCTGACAGGTCCACAGATAATTGTTTATTGCTTGCTGAAAAAAATTCCACAGTTTGTTTTACCAAATTCCATCATGATGTATAATGAGTATCTGGGTCTTATAGATCCTTTTACGATGTACCTGGGGTTTATAGTGTAACCTAATCCTTAATACAAATAATATGAGGCTTGTCATAAGACTATAGGAGAAGCCTGTAAAGTTTATGGAAGTCTCCTACCACAGGCCAGGAACTTTACAACAGACCTTTCAGTGAAGACATATGGAAAAGAAAAAGAAACAGAGGTAGAAAGATAGATAGTGTTATCAAATTGTATTAATTTATATGTAATGATTCCTTCACTTCTGAATTAGGCTTTGCATCTAGCTAATCCCTGAACACTCATTGACTTTCAATGTATAAGAAAGTACTTGGTAAAAGACTGCTTCTAAATCTGAAAAGGTTCAAATAGTCTACAATTCACAATTTCTTTATATGTATAGGCATGGATATGATATGCAAATGTTTTTAAATTATAGTGTTTAACCACACTACTTGACTCCTTAATCTCATTTCCAAAGGAGCTGAGATTAAAGAGTAAATCCCCAGCATTCTTCAGAAACAGTACCAGCCCCAAGAGCACCAAGCCTTTAAAAATATTTCCATACATTATTTCTTTTATTCCTTTTAATCTTTTTTAAATAAAGAGGGGAAAGCACTTATCATCTCCATTCAGTTACATAGAATCGGAATGCTGCTATGTGACAGAAATCATCACACTAATGCACAGGAATTGAAGTCAAGCAACTTTGGTCTTGTCTGAATTGAATTAAGTCTTGACCTTGTAAACATTTCCGTTGGAGGTAGAACATACACATTTGACTTTTTGTCAAATAAGGGATAGTAAACAATGATTCTGAGATCCTAATAAATTAAAGGTATTGTAAAGGCATTAAATATACTTTTTAAAAGAAACCAAAGATAAAAAGGCACACAGATGTTTAATAAATTAGAAAGTGAAATGTAAATCTTCATAGTTGAAATGTTTGCATCTTCAGATCTTCACTGGTTTTATTTGATAATTTTGAAACTATGATTAATAATGAGCTCACATTTTAAACTCTTAGTGTGCATGACAAGCTCTGCAAGTATCTCCATTCACTATGGAGTTGTCCATAGTACCAGTGACTTTAAAACAATGTCAGCCACTGCATATTCATTTTTATTTACTCTTATGGAAGTCTGAGTGAATAATGATATTTGCACAGTAGAGATTTTTTTTAAAGTTTTAGCACCCCCTCCCACATTGGTGGTTTAAGTGCCTCCAGCTGCTGTTCCCATGAACACAGTGTTGATAGGTGGTAAAGAGGACACCATTTCTCTACTGCTTGTTCCATGGGAGTCCAGGGTTTCTTGAGCTGGATACTGGTTGGAAGTTCCATACATACATTGGGATGAGGAAGAAGGAATTGGGGTTTGCAAACTGGAAGCTGTAAGGGAAAATATAATCAGCAATTGAAAATTGATTGACATTTTCTTTTCTCTGCAAATGCCACTCATTTTAATACCCTGTATTTATTTTTGCACTTAGCACACATACCTATTCTAAATTTGAGTCTGTATGGTTTACCAGAGCAATCATTTTTTCTTCCATTTGTTCCCACTTGCTAGTCTCCCAGAAATTATTTCCTCTACATATTTCACAAAGAAAACTCCATTTCAACTTAAGTGCTACCGCCAAAATATATCCCCCAATCAACCTCCTCTTTCCATCTGCACTTTCACGGTTGTAGTTCAAACCACCATCTTTTCTCTCCTGGACCAACACAGCAGCCTCCTGACTGGTCCCATGATCTCCACCTTTGTTTCACCCACTCACCTTCCCGAGAGCAACCAGAATGATATTGCTGAAGAGTAGATCAAACTTTCACTCGTCTCAAATGCCATAGTGGCTTCCGATACCCTTGGAACATGAACCAAGCATCTTACCCTATGTAGATGGGCCCCTGATTTTTTATTTATTTTGCTCTACTCTCTCCTTCATTCAACATGCTTAAGACACACTGGCCTGCTCTCTGCCCATTGATTTTTTCAAATTTATTCTGATTTCAGCGGTTCTGCATTCACTGTTTCTTCTGCCTGGAACTCCTCCCTCAGATCTTCACATCTTTGCCTCCTTCTCATCACTCAGCTTTCAACTCAAATGTTTCTGCCTCAGGATTCCTTTCTCAGCTGTCCTACCGAAAGCAGCTCCTCCTTTACTGTCTGTCATTTTACTCTATTTAATCAGGTTCAGAGTACTTGACATTATCTTTTTAATGCATTTGCTCATGTATTTATTGCCTTACTGTCCCTCTACTAGAATGTAAACTTCTTACAGGCAAGAACTATGGCCTGATCACCACCATATCCTCACATCTAGAATGGGGTCTGGCTCCTAGTCGGTTCTCAATAAAATTCATTAACTGGCTCACTAGCCCTGTATTTCTCTCATATATGGTTGCTGCCTTCTTATTGCTGACATGACGTGCTCTCTGTCTAAGAACCAGGCTTTATACTTAAGAAATAGTTGAACTCAATTCTCCTTGCACTACTTATCCACTTATTCTATCCCCTCATTTTACCCTGCAGCACACTTTGTAATCTACTTGTAAGCCAGCTCTGATAAACTAAAGCTTAGACTCCACCCTACTCTTAACCTATGTTTCGTCAAAGCTTCCACTATCTCTTCAGGTAAACAGAACTAATAGTAACAATAGCAACACAGTACATTTTAGTCTCATGGTGAGAAAACTTCCTGAAGTGGAATTTTCTGCTTCATTAGAGTAACCTAGAAGCAATGACCATTTGCAGATAGCAGAAGATGAGCTGCTAGATTCTGCTCAGGGAGCATGTGTGACAGTGACAGGAAGAGAAGGAGTACTTCCTATTGAATTATTGGGAAGGTACACTGAGTGAGGAGAGATGAAATTGATTTCATTTTCCCTTATGCTCTGGTTGCGTGTCAATGCCCTCTACTTATGCTAGTCTGAAATCAATCTCATTGGAAGACTTTAACCATCTCATATAAATATTAACACTCTGCTTTGATACTTAGTGAATATATACTTGCCCTGTGAAATCTTATTAGTATTTTTAGAAACTAAATCTATAGTGACTAAATCTATGTTATTACTAATAACATACTAATTATTATTGCAGAATTTCTTCATAGATGAGGATTAAGAAATGTAACCTGGTTGGAAGAAGATTCCAGGAGGCTTCACGGCAAGCACACGTTTTTCTTATTTTTACTTACATGATATGTTAGAGAGCAATAAAAATGGCAACATTTTCTACAGAGGTGTTGAATCACATTTTACATAAGAATGAGAAAATGCTAGTAGCACCCATCACAGGACACCAGTTTTTTTTAATCTTGGAGTGATTTTTGGATACTGATGGAGATCATGAGGCCTAAAGATATCTCTTGGCACTACAACTGGGTCCAACACTAATCAAGAGTGAGAAAAGGATATTATTACTGCCCTTTTAAAACTTACAGTTTTAGACTGCATTTGACAGGTCATATTAATCTTTTGCATACTTAATAGATACCAGCTATTTTTTTTGTAAAAAGTAACAGATCTAGCAGTAGGTTGCATAATAGAGATATACAGAATAAGAAATGAAAAACTGTTACTAACTGTGTAGTCAGATACAAAAAATATAACTTTAGATCCAAGGTAATAAATCAACCGTGGAAACATGCTTGCTCAGTTCACCTCAGCATATCTCCCTCAAGTAATGTTGCATACCTGAGGTTAACAACTTCTTAAAATGTTTTCAAGAACTGCTAAAATAATTTACCTAGGACTGGAGTTCGACATGCAACTGGAGATGATGTGTCTGTGTAAAACGAGCTGGTCTGTTTTCTACCACTGTCATCTAAAATGTTAAGTGGATCGTGGATGTCACTGTAGGGGGGCAGTGAACGAATGCTGCTGATGACAGAAACGTGCTGATTCACCATTGATCCGAGCCTGTGAGACTCTGGGTAGTTTATGTTGCTTCCATAGTATCCTGTAACAGAAAATGTTGAGAATTTGCTGTTAACTTACTACAAAGAACTTTCAGGAAGGAAAAAAGTGACAAAGTAATGAGGTGACGTCCTAAAGATATCAAACTGTAAGTATTACATGTGTATCTATACATGCTACAGAACTGGATTTGTGCTTGTACATGGATAAGGTTTACTGTGCTGTTTTTTGTGTTTTTTAACACATAAGAATTGTAGCATCATACATAATTTAATACAATAATTATAGCATAATACATAATTTAAGACATAAGAATTGTATTAACTTTAAGACCAGATTACACTTCTGTCAGATTTCCCTTATCTAAATTAACAAGATCTACCTTTGAAGGAAAAAAAGCACTATCGCCTGTCACAAAAATACTACTTTCATGTATAGATGCATGTTTAGGGAAGACAAAGACTGGCCTACACTTAGGAGAAAGACACCAAAGAAGCCTACACACAAAGCCTATTTTGGTGACTCAAGGTCACAGGTCTCTCTAATTCCCTTAACTTCCTATTTTTATTGGTCTGTTTTGTTCCCAATCTTTAAAATCTGCTTTTAGTTATCAGGAAGAAATATTATCCACTAAAAATGTTTTCAAAAGACAGAACATTCTTCTTTGGGGCTATTAAGGTAGGTCTCAAACATATGATTTAACTATCTTTTTTTTTTTTTTAACATATGCGGTATTTAGGAGGACAGCTTTAGGCCGGGGGTGTTGGCTCACACCTTTGGGAGGCACCTCAGCATTTTGGGAAGCCAAGGAGAGAGGATTGCTTAAAGTTGGTAGTTTGAGACCAGCCTGGGCAAACATAGTGAGACTTTGTCTCTAGAAAAAATTTAAAATATAGACAGGGATGGTGATGCATGCCTGTAGTCCCAGCTACTTGGGAAGCTGAGATAGGAGGATTGCTTGAGCTAGGGGTTTGAGGCTGCAGTGAATCATGATCCTGCCAAGCACTCCAGCCTGGGCTACAGCATAAGACCTTGTCTCAAAAAAAAAAAAAAAAAAAGGAAGAAGGGCAACTTTAGGAAAGCCACAAAAATTAGGAAATATATATGTATGTGACAGAAATCAGCTCCAAATGTCTAAGATTCCATGATCTTTGGAAGCCTTAAATGAAAGGACATGCTAGTCAGCAGAGGTGGAACGCAATGTCTGATTTTGCCTCATTGCCATCTCAAAAACCAAGAAAAATTCTTTTAAATATCAATACCATTTGGTGAATTAGGAGGCAGTGTTGCTCCTTGGCAGCTGGCAGCTCCTGTGTTGCTCAAGAAATTGAAGCTTCCTGTATTTAAAAACTGCATATTGTGTGAATCCTGGGCTTGCAGGGATGGGCCATAGCTAGACGGTGGCCGGGAGTTATATGGAGACCCCGCACAGCTGCCACTGAAGAAGTCTCTTGAAAGCTGCTGTTCAGTCCAAGCCATGCATCGACCATGCTCGGTGTGATGAGGATAGAGTCCTGATGTGGAGTGGGGCTGTGCCCTAAACACAGTCTGGTAGTTAGAGCTGGTGCTATAAAAGTCATGATTGGCTTGAGGGAGAGTGGGATAAATGGGCTCTGGGTATGTGGAGCAGTGTGATGGAGCTGACAGTACTGGGCCCACACTTGGGGGCCTCCCTGCCATTGGTCCTTGGTTAATGACACTTCCTCGGCTTGCCATGGCTGGAGAAATGGGTGGTGTCATCAGATGACCAGCAATCTGTGAAAGCTCCATTTGACCTGGAAAAAATCACCAGAACATTCCTTTAGTGTCATATTAAAGTAGATGAGCTCACATCTTTAAAAAATATTCAAAAGATTTATTAATGTATTGTTTTCCAGCTTGCTTCATTCCTGCCCTCCAAAAATAACTAAACTGAAAAGCACCAAAAATCCAGAATTTAAAAAATATAATCACAACACATGTATATATCACAACAGTGGAGACGTGGATTTGGTGACTACAGAGGAAAGTCTGCGATGGCTTCATGGTTTCTCCACAGGTAGCATGGGGAGGACATGTGTGTCTGCTGCTCATATTTCCCCATAATTAAAAAATTAGCTGATTGTTAAACTGTTTGATTTTTAGGGTAAAAAGAAAAAGTCACTAATGTCAAAATGGCCATGGCTTCAAAGCAGTCAATTCAAAATGTCATGCAAACACCTCTTATAAGTAATGTGATTTATGAATGCCACCAACTCTCTGGGCCGCCAGTGTTCCATTGGTAGAAATGGACTCCTGAACTATAAGGCTCTTCTAGGTTTAAAATTCTGTATATCAAATGAAGTAATGTATATAAAAAGATTTCAAAAAAGACACAAGGCAATAAGCAGATTTAAAATATTCCCGAGTAGCTAGTTCAAGCCACCAAATATTCATGTTGACACAAAGAGAACCTTAGACCAAAAGGGAGAATTATTGTAACGATTATCCTAAAATGGCCGAATCCAGTTTTTTTGTTTGTTTGTTTGCTTTTTTGATATGGAGCTTCACTCTCGTCACCCAGCTGGAGTGTAATGGCCTGATCTCAGCTCACTGCAAGGTCCGCCTCCTGGGTTCAAGAGAGAGTACAGGCGCCTGCCACCAAGCCCGGCTAATTTTTTGTATGTTTAGTAGAGACGGGGTTTTGCCATGTTGGGCAGGCTGGTCTCAAACTCCTGACCTCAGGTGCTCTGCTCGCCTCGGCCTCCCAAAATGCTGAGATTACAGGCATGAGCCACCATACCCAGCCCGAAACTACTTTTTAAGGGAGGAGAAATAAAGTCTCCTCAAAATCCAGAAATAAGCAACCCATTTTTTTGATCTTCAAAGCATCTTAAGAATTTTATGTATACCTCATCTAATTATTTCTTCCACTAAATTAACTAATTATTCATACTTCTAATATAATTTATGGAGTGTGTCAAGACATGATACCTGTGTTAATAACAGTATTATTACCATTGCTGAAAATCACAAAAATATTATAAATCTTTATTAAAACTCAGTTAAGATCATCCTTTTTTATTGTTGGAATTCCTGGACTGGAAGTTATGAGTTTTAAGAAAAATGAAGCAACAGGCTTCTCTGAGATGTGCTGGAGCCTAAGCAGTTCTCTTTAGCGTACCTGTGAGCGGCATGTTGTCTGTGTTCCCAGCAGGGAACTGGTGCAGAGCAGGGCCTAGGCCTCCAGGTTGACTGGATGGCAGAGGGAGATAGGTTGTCTCCACGTGGCTTTCATTCTTCACAGCGTCGCTGGAAACCATGCTCCCTTTATTACGGTTGGCCAGAAAGCATGAACTCGGAGAAGCAGTGAAAGCAGCTTTACTCGCATCTGGAAAGAGTTTTTAAAATGGGAAATTTGAGATTTTTTCTCACATTCCTCGTAGATAAACCCAAGTAAAAAGAAAATGAAAATGTTTCATTGTTGAGTATTTAATCTGGAAACTACTAAGCAATGTTTCCCATGGGAAGTGAGGTTGGCAGACCTTTGCTCTTGACAGTGATGCTAGGTTTTTTTTAGCTGCATATTTGCGGATGTGGATGTAGATAAGGAGCACTAAATAATCCAGTTTGGAGTGAAGTCTTCAAAATGCAAGTTGCCCTATCCTGAATAGATGTGTTTCCTTCCTTCTCTAAACTCCTATAGAACTTATTTTTACACCACTTACATATGTAGTATACCACATGTGTCTTGAATTACAGTTATTTTTTGTATTATAGTCACTTCTCCAACTTCACCTTAATTCCCAGAAATTAAGATCACCAATTTTGTATACTTCAGAGTTTCCAGTAAAGTACTTTTGACTACATAGCAATGAATGAAAGAAAAGTAGTGCTCCAATAGTGTGACTGTATGGTGAGAATTAGTAATGACATGTTTGGAGAAAAACTCTGAGATTATGATAAACCCACTTAATATCTGAACTTATAAATTCTTGAACTTAAGATTAAAACAAAGAAATATGCAAAACAAAACAGTTATTTTAAGTTACCTGAATTCTTCATATACTTGTCCAATAAATTCTGTAACTCCTGCTCTTTGTCATTATTAAACTGGGTCTCCATGGCCAGGAGAATGTATTCATCGAGAAGCATTCGAATCAAATGAAAAGAACCTTGTTTATGGATGGAGAATGAGGAGAGGACAGTGTGAAATGTAAAAAGGGGAGAGAAAGAGAAGGAAAGGGAAAGAGAAGTCAGTTATCTTTGTGACCATCTCGCAACACTTTACAAGGAGCAACTGAAATAAACAAATACTTGTTGGACTTTAAATGACCTGCTAAGACCAACATGCTTAACTTGGATCTCTAATCTTTCTGTGTATTGCCTGCCCTGCTCACTGTGTGTACTGTCCTGCCAGCTCTTTGGCCACTAATTACATCAAAGGAAAATACGGATGAAAGTGAGACATGCTTTATGCTTTAAGAGGGCACACATTGGAGTGTGATAAGCTTCAACTTGGGGAGAATGAGCTCTACTCTGCTCTATTTCTGTTTACTTTGTACTAAATAATTAGACAATGGCCAACATGGTCTGAAAAAAGTCAAGTAAAGAGATATCTTTCTAGCCTGAAACAAAATATTCTTAGATTTGGCAAAAACTAAAAGAGTAATTTTCAAGTGAAATATGTTCTGGAAAACTAAAACTTCTTTTAACTATTCAATAGATTTTCCAACAAAAGTATTTTTCGTAGTAAGGCCAGGCTTCAATGCTGTATATTTTATAAAACTTTAAATATGGGAAGTCTATTTCAAATAATAGACAATGTGTTTTGTTTATTCTTCAATACAAATTCACTGATTTTATTTAATTCTATAGAACATTAAATAAAAACAATTTAGTTAATTGTAATCTCTTTCATAATGTGAAGATTTCCTGAAATGCAGCTACCAAATGCAGAGTTACTACTCATGAGTTAACATTATAACTATAAAATAGGAGTCTCAGGAATTCTAAGGAAAAAGAAGGCATTCAATTTTATAAAAAGCTAACTTAACCCTATTTGTCTCCCAAGTCATATAGAACAGGAAAGATGGGTCAGAAACATGACAGTGTGTCTTCTAAGCTGTTTTTTGATTCCTGGAGTGCAGTTATATGGGTGCTCAGAAAAGCTGCAGAAATTTGCCGTATTGCAATGAATAATAACTTTGGAAAATAATGTCTTAATTATCATTTGTTTAACAAAGAAAATTTATCCAAGCACTGATGGAATGTAATGATAATAGCTGCTATGCATTAAGCATTTCCTGAGTGCTAGGCAATTTGTTTTTATATACATCATCTCACCAAAGTACCTATACAACCCTTCGAAGAGAATATTCTTCCCCTTCTTCAATGAGCAGATTGGCCCATAGCCAGAGACAATCATTGTTAGGATTTAATCCTGCTTATGGTCTGACTCCAAAACCCAGGCTCATAAATACCATTTTCTCATAGCTCCATATTCAGATACAGTTTAAGAAGTGATGATGTAACATGTTTAAAAATTGACAGGAACTGTGACTGAGGAACAAATTATATAATTCATGTAAGAACAGTTTTATAATGCACGTATGTTACCAAAACTGGATGCATTGTTCAAGGTGAGATTATGCATTACTCGAGCACCAAAAAAACTCCACTTTAACAGAAAGTCTTGAGCTCTCTTCTTTAATGACCTTCCATTTTGTTTGCTGGTCTAAAAGTAAAGGAACAAAATGAAACTATAAAATCCGTCCTCTCAGTACTACATGCATCCTGTGTTAGATCAAGAAGTAAATAGACTGTCTAACAAATGGACAGATGGCATGGCATTTATTTCATCAAATAAAACTATCTGTCCAGGGAATTTAATGTTAGCCTGTCTTTGCTGATGTTTTAAGGGTAATAAGTCTTTATTCAATATGGCTTTGTTTCCTAATAGAATTAGACAACAAAATGAAATAATTTTCAAAATATTTTTATTTTTTAATTTTTCTTTGACAGAGCTTTAAAAAGAACAGAAGGTGAGGTGTGAAGGAAGGGCTATATATTTTTGTGAATGATTAACTCTGACTTCTTTGGTACTGAATGATAATCTATTTTCCTTACAGAAGGAAAAAAGTCTCCAAACTATAACTAGTCTCCTTGATATGGAATGGCCAACACCAACTAGTGATGGATATATTTGTTCTTATTGCTTGTTTCACAATGGGTGACTAGGTTAACCAAAGAAGGTGAAGAAACCACAGAGAAAACACAAAATATTGAGCTTTTGGAATTCAGAAATGCAAATGCTTAGAACCATGTTTTCCATCAGCATTTATGAAATCTTGCTTTTTAGAAACGGGCCAGATCATTCCAGTTTCTAAGTTTATCTTTCTCTACTGATGTTACTCAGCTGTAATGTTATTGACTGATAGGGAAGGCAGAGCATCTTGTAGTCTTTCGGCAAGAAAGGAGAAATATAATGGAATCCATGCCCAATGCTCTCAAATCTTGACATATTCCTAATTTCAGTATTTGGCCTGCCTTATTCGTAGAGCATCAAAAGCTTTTCAAAGCCTTTACACACACAGCCTTCCACCCCTCTCCCCCCAGACAAAAAATTATAGCCAGTTTAGCATTTACTCTTTACAAGGAACTTATTTTCTGAATCTGTCATTAAAAAGTACCTTAATAACTCTCTGTTCTACCACAGTATCCAACCATTCAATAAAAGCCTCCACAGTGGCATTCTTCTTAAGGAGATCCTTCAGTTCTTGGAACACAGTGATAGAGTCATCTACCCAGGAAAAAAAAAAAAAAGAAAGAAAAGAAAACAGAATATTGTACTCTACTTGGAATCCAAGAGAAAACCTAAAACTTGGAATCATCAATACTTTGATAGCATGAAAGGGAAAGACAGATAAATGTGTGAAAAGAATTAATATCATATCTTGAAAACAGTAACAAAAAAATCCTTAGTACTGTACTCTTCAATGGTGTGTGTGTGAGAGAGAGAGAGACAGGATCTTGCTTTGTTGCCCAGGCTGGAGTGCAATGACGTGATCATGGCTTACTGCAGCCTCAAACTCCTGGGCTCAAGTGACCCTCCTGCCTCAGCCTCCCAAGCAGTTGGGACTCCAGGCACGCACCAACAAGCCTGCCTAAATTAAAAAAAAAAAAAAATTATAGAGCAAGGTCTTGCTGTGTTGCCCAGGCTGGCCTTGAACTCCTGGGATCAAGCAATCTTCCCACCTCAGCCTCTTGAAGTGTGCCCGAAATTTTAATAAGTGTATATATCTTGGTATATATTGAAATATAGGTTTAAATCTTATATGTGTATTCACATACTAGGGAAGATTAAGTTGTTTATGTAGTTAAATATTCATTTTGAGTCTAGTGTTTTCATTAAACGGAACAGATTAGTTAAAAGTGAATGAATGAACCTAAGCTTGGTGATTTCCTGCTTTCCAAAATATCTTTTATCTTTAGTAAAAGTTAATTTCTTCTCAGCAGAATTGAGCCATTTACCTGAATAACGTTTTATCATGTAATATTTAAAAGGGCAGTTTAAGACTATCCTTTTATTAAAGGTTTTAAGGTTTACTGAATCTCAAAAGGTAATCCTATTTTATGTTAGGAAATAAAAAGTGGAGTTGAGATTGGGCCCCAGAGAGCAGTCCATAGTTTGTGCTCCAGTGTATAGGAGGCTGCAGGTTTTGTCTTTTCAAAGACAGAGGGAGGAAAAAATAGTGGCTGTTATCCCTTGAAATTCAAGCCTAGTTGTCTAGCCATGCATATTGGCTTGGTAAGCTCTCTCAGATGGTCCAAACCTGAGTAGAGAGTCTGCTTTGAAAAGCAGTATTGTGCTGAGATACCATTTTGATATTTATCACACACCACAGGATGACAAGACTATAAAACACATGTAAATTTCTATACATGTAATGTAAAACTGAAAGAAAACTTACAAAACTCAAAACAATTTGATTATTTTCAGATTATTTCCATTTCATTTATTTCTAGGTAATGAAATTACAGATGACTTTTATTTTCCTCAATATTTTCTATCTTTTCCATGGTGAGTAATTATAACTATTTTTTATTAGAAGATAAATTTTTTTAATTAAAAATATTTTTATAAACCAGGTTTTTTTTCAATCAGATGTGATTTTTCAGCCCAGAACACCTTTGACAATGTGGGGAAACATTTTTGGTTGTCTCAGCTTGGGGGAGGCTGCTACTGTCATCTAATGGGTAAAGGTCAAGGATGCTGCTAAACATCCTACAGCACACTGGACAGGCTCCTCCAACAGAGTTACCCAGCTCAAGATGTCAATTTTCTGAGCTTAGAAAACCTTGTTCTAAACAAAGAGAATGGACTTACGTTCAGTGTAGATACCAGATTCAGTGTCTGTGCTGCCTGAAATGGTAAGAAGGGCTTGAGAGCCAATGCTGTTCAAATCAACCCTTTCAATATCAGACACCATAGAATTAACGACATGCTGGTCAAAGAGAGCTGGTCTGGCAATCTGCATAGAGAAAGTAAAGAAGACACTACACTATATCATTTCTAATGTATCTAGAAGAAATTTTTAGCTATCAGAAAAATAGTTCCTTGAGATAAAAGTATCATAAATAACTTTTTTCTTATTTTAAAGACAAAAGCAGTAGCTGAGACTCATGATCATCTCTGTTAAAAGTCTGAAAATTATAGGAGATACACCTAATGTAAATGATGAGTTAATGGGTGCAACACACCAACAGGGCACATGTATACATATGTAACAAACCTGCACGATGTGCACATGTACCCTAAAACTTAAAGTATAATAAAAAATAGAAAAAGAAAATATAAATGGATTCTCTTTGTCCATGATCACAAAATAAGAATTTTTAAATGTTACATTTCCTATCTGAAATCATCTCAAGCTTGTCTTTTAAAATTTAGAAGGCAAGAAACCTTCATAAAGCAGATAATCATTTTGGGGAAAGAGAAATATATTTTAACAATATACAAATGCATCATTCTTAACTTATGAATTACTTTTGCTCTATTTAAAAGAGCCATGATTAGTCGGCAGTTTAAAATGTGTTGAGTTTGTGGTTTCACAATATTAAGTATCACACAGGCTTACTTCTCACAACCTTAATTTGTACCAATTAGATTCACATGGCAAATAAATGTTTAATTGCATTCAAGTTTTTTAAATTTCCAATCACAGAGAAGTTGCAAAGATAGTGCAGAATATTTCCATATACTCTCCATCCAGCTTCTTATCATCTTCTGTAACTATTGTATATTACCCAAATTATGAAATTAACATTGGTACAATACTATTAACTACAGACATAATTCAAATTTCACCAGCTTTCCCACTAATGTGCTTTTTCTATCATAGCATTCACTTCTGGGTCTCACGTTGCATTTAGTTGTTGTCTACTTAGCTCCCTTCAATCTATGAAAGTTCCTCAATCTGTCCTTCTCAGAAGATTCATTTTTTATATGGTGACTCAAATGCTCTCGACTTAGCAACCAACATACCTGGGCAAGATGTAAGAAAGATGTTTGTCGTTTCAGAGAAGATACAAATCTTCGCACAATAGGTATTTTCTTGTCAGTTAGAGCTTCTGGCAAGTTTTCCAAGGATGAAACAACCCACTGTTCCCAATTTTTAGCAAAATTTCTTATGTCTGCTAATAAGCTACAAAGAAGGCTATGTGTTAAATGCTTCATTGTTAAAAAATGCATTAAACAATCATATTTTAATTGAGGTATACTATTATTCTATGGTTTCATAAGCAGTACTTTTGAAGTCAGACAGCCTAGATCTGCCATTTATCATCTTTTCTTATGCTATATTTTTAAAATGTTTGTGGGTGCATAGGAGGTGTATATATTTATGGGGTACATGAGATGTTTTGTTATCATCTTGGTCAAAACACTCAAGCTCTTCAAACTCCACTTCAAGTACCCAATTCAGAGTACAGAATAGATATTTAAAGACTACAATTGATAATTAAAAGACATTATTGATCAGGCTAATACCAACTATCATATAGATGAAATAATCTGGAGGAAAAGGTAAATAAAAAGTAAAATTTGTTTTACCAAGCAACATCTATTTTTGGAGCACCAACTATGTCCAGTCCTATATGAATTTGTACCCCCAAAATACTAAAATAAATTTTATCATTTCATTAGATTTTGTTTTCAGAGAAAAAGTTGGCTTTTTTTTTTCAGAATTCTATTGTTCTTATATTGAAAAGGTTTTTTTTTTTTGAAAAATCTTCTGGTATTGTTTCAATAAACTATTTGAGATTTTATTCCTTTGTTAAAAGAAGGCAGTAATTTCATCATGCCACTTTCTGATTTTGTAATTAAGACAAAAGTTAATAATAAAATACAATAATTTCTCCTATAGTTTTTATTCTTGTGGTTATTTTCCATTAATTATCTTTTTTATCATACTCCAGCTAGTTTCCATTGAAAAATTTCTCGAAGATCAACAGTGCTTAAATCTATTTTTCACTTTAGCCGCTCTCAAATTAAAGGGATTGAAGGATTGTTTCACCCATTTTGTTTATTGAGGCCCAGCTATAAGACACATCTCTTCCAGCAAATACAAAGGGACAAAAGTAGAAAATAGTCTTCTTGATAAATGAATAAATTACTACCTAATGTTTTCTTCTAATATAATGTATAAAGTTAAATCCTATACTAGGAATGCTCATGTTTTATTAACTGAACATACCTTTCAGGCATTTCTTGCATTGTTGCAGGAATGAGTACATCTGTAAGAACCTTAATCATAGCAAAAGAGGTTAATACAAATCTTTACTTAGTATTTCTATAGAAAGACATATTATTGGTCAACTACTTTTTATTCCTAGCTTCCTAGAGAATAACATGTTAACTCCTTTCTCAAAGTTATAATTTTATCTCCAAAATGAATGTATGTATGAGTTGTGTGTGAGTGTGTATGACAATAAAAACAAGAGATAGCACTGTATATGTACATGCTCAGTATGTTAATTACCAATGGATTGGTCCATGGTAATCATATACCGTTTTATGATGAAAAGCTGACCACTTTCTAGAGGTGGGAGGAAGATTTTTGTAGAAGCTCATCTTACACCGTTCTACTTACAGAGCTCACTGTGCCTCTCTGGGTCCACCATGAGGAGGAGAAACCAGGTTCATTTAAAGATATTTAAAGTCAGGATGTTTATACTAGACTAAAAAAAACAGATCACTTAAAGGGAGAAGTGTGTTTTAAAAGTATTTCTTGGACAAACTGAATGACAGTCCAAAAAGCTTTGGTCTGATGGAAATTTGTGTGCATGAGCCCCAGGTCTTTTCTTATACTCACTCACGGAGCTGCCTCCCCTCCCCTTTTGGGAGCCTTGTCAAGTGTTAAGCATTACAAACAATTAATGCAAATTAAACTGTTTTTCTCTAAATAATGGCATTCATATTCAATCCAGAAAAAAAAAAAAAAACAAGACAATCCTTACTCTCCTCTGAAATTTTTTCAACTTGAACTTGAACTAAAGGCAGAAAATATATTGTACTTTATTCCTCCTTTCTCCTATCCTGTGATGAGGAAGTACTGGACAGAGGATAAAAATATGCACTCTCTTATTCAAGTTGTCTCATTACTTCTTGGTCTGCTTAGGGGCTTCTGGACTTAGTTTATCTATAAATAGCTTTTGCTTTACTTTTCTGCAAAGCTGAGAATCTGATAGTGGCAACTAACTTAGAAGGATTTTATTTCCTAAATGTTTAACAGCGTCCAGCTTGGGTTTTCTTGCCAACTCAGATTATTTTTTAAAAGGAAAGCTTTTGTTTTTCCTTATGGTAAGTTAGAAAGCAAATGTAGGCAAACTCACTTTAAAGTACCCACATTGCAATATAGTTTTATCCATCAGCTTAGAACTTGTAGCCACCAGGGAAGAGACTGTCAAGAATTAGCCTCTTTCTGTCTTCCATTAAATGTTTGCCTAGAAGGACAATCAGTTTGTCCTTATTTAGGATGTCTTCGAGATCCTTCTGCAGACACTTAGGAACTCTGATTTGGTTTGAGAAGAGAATTAGACATTAATGCATTAAAGTTAGAGGTTTTTGAGATTTTCAAGTTATTAATCTCATAAGGGTGCCTAATTCTGCTTTCTGCCAAAACACTGGCATTGTGAAAAAAAATCCACTGTGTTATTTTAATCTGAAAACACCTTAGAGAGTTAATAAAATTTAACTAAGTTTTCACATATTAATAAGTGTGTCACATATAGACTCATTATTAGCTGTAAAAAGAAATTGAGTTTGTTTTACTTAATGTAAACTTCAATTAAAACACATACACTATTAAACGTGCACTATTAAATTGCTTGCTTTCTCATCAAAAAAAAAGACAGTGTATATCCAGCCATAAATAACATATTTACTGAAAATATATTGCAAGAATTTAGATAGAATGCTACGTAAAGAAATAAATGGCTCATGTTTAAGACATCCCAAAGTGCTTACCTTATAAAGAATTGAGTCACAAACACAGAAAATATCAATGATAACAGGATTTTCGAGCAGGGGAAGGAGATGGTCAGGCATTCCTTGCCAAAAGTGTAATAAAAAATGCTGGATCTAGTTGCAGAGTAAAAAGTATGTTAAGATTTTTTTCTTTAACATGAACTCATTAAGAACAGAACATGAAAGTATATATAATAGGGTCAAATAAAGCATTCTTTGTCATTCTTACCTCTTCAAAGTTTCCATTAATTGCATTGTCCAGGATACACTGGCAGTGAGTTTTGTACATCATTATGAGCGTATCAACCTATTTCAAGGAAGAAAAAGCTTAACCAAAGCATCCTTTTAACACTGCCTTTTCTTGTTAATTTGTTCAACACAGATTTTTTAAAAGATCCTATTACGTACCAAGCAGTATGCTCAATGTTGAGGACTCAAAAATTAAGGCAAAATTCTTATTTCAAGGATCTTACTGCCTTGTGAAGGGAGAAAAGCAAACAAATGGACAACTACAGTATAATATGAAAAAGGTAATTTTTCAGAGTACTATGGACCAAAGTAACATCCTAGTTTTATGCCTACTAAAATATTAAATTTTAAAATTTAATTTTTAATTTAAATTTAAATTTTTTAAAATTAATTTTTGGGTAAATAAACATAAAGTAGTAAAAGTAGTAACAAAGATTTGGATAAATAAACATAAAGTAGTAAAATACATCAAATCTTCACACAGTTTTATGAAGTGGATGCTTGGAGCAGTATGGCATAATGGTTTCAAATTTTGTCTCTGGAGTCAGCTCAACTTGGGTGCCCACCTTCACTGCACTACTTACCAGGTATGACTGCAAAAGTGGCTTTGTCTCTGAGCTCCCAAGCTTTTTAAGTAGGTAGTAATAACATATTACTTACATGGTGTTAAGAAAATCAAATAAAATAGGATGTGACACATATGGAACAGTGCCTGGCACCCAGTAAGACCTTACTAAACATTATCCAGAGTTAGTAATAATATCAAATGATGCATTTTCCAAAAAAAAGTTTCAAACATTGAATGTCTATTATGAAAAGTCTCTCTTTTCAAGTTACCATGGATATTTGCATAGCATAGTTTAAAAGTTTTAAATATATTCTAAAATTTGCAATAGGCTAGAACTAGATAATATTCTGGCCACTTAATAACATTCAAACTAAAACTTTTATTTTACATGTTAGAAATTTCCCTACCTGTTGCCAGTTATGTACTCTACGTGAAAAAAAGCAATGTTTGGAGGTTGAATGTGTGAGCTTTGCCTTCAGATTACCTGGATTTCAATCGCAGCTCTAATTTGCCACTTACTAGTTATTACTAGTTATGTAACATTAGGCACACTACTTGATATTTATGTGCTTTAATTTCCTCATATCTAAAATTGACATGATAATAACAGTAGCTATAAAATAGGGTTGCTAGGAAGACTAAATGAATTAACAAATATAAAGTGTTTGGAATAATCCATAGTACATATTAAGAAACTGATGGATGTCAGCTATTTTGATTCCAATAGCATCTAGAGTGGTGGTGGTGATGGAGGTGTCCTATCCTAACCCTTTGCATTTCCCTTTATTCCCACAACCCAATACACATATCTTTGTGGTTTAGCTTAGAGCTGTAGAACCATGATATGAACATTATTGATCCATCTGAAGGAGCTGTGCTGACTATAGAATACCTCTAGCAGGATATGTTACCATCAATGCAAATGAGAATTGCTCTATATTTCAGGCAATGCTATTATATTTTCAGATTATTCCAAGTCATATGTTTAAAATGAGGATGAGTAACACACGAAAGATGGAAGGGAAGTCATAACTGTTGTCAAAAATTAACCCTTTCTGTATATATCCAGAAAAAGGAAATCAATATATCAAAGAGAGATATCTGCTCTCCCATGTTTATGGCAGCACTATTCACAATAGCCAACATATGGAATCAACCTAAGTGCTCATCAATGGATGAATGGATAAAGAAAATGTGGTATATACACAAGGGAATATTATTCATCCATAAAAAATAAAACCCTGTCATATGCAGCAACATGGATGGAACTGGAGGGCATTATGTTAAGTAGAATAAGCCAAGCAGAGAAAGACAAATATCACATGATCTCACTCATATGTGGGACCTAAACAAGTGGATCTCATGAAGGTAGCGAGTAGACTGGTGGTTACCAGAGGTCGGAAAGAGGAGGGGGAGAGGAAAATAATGAGAAGTTGATTAATGGGTACAAATACACAATTTGATAGAAGAAATAAGATCTGGTGTTGGATAGATCTGTAGGGTGATTATAGCTTACAATAATCTATTGCATATTCAAAGTAGCTAGAAGAGAACAATTCAAATGTCTTTAGCAAAAAGAGAAGATAAATATTTAAGGTGATCAGTAACCCAATTACACTGATTTATCCGTACAAATTATATAAGCATATTATCACATGTGCCCCCAAAATATGTACATCTATTCCATATCAATAAATTCTTTCAAAATTAATCCTTTGAGCCCTGAAACCTATTAAAGTACAAGTAAGCCTTTATCTTCACAAGTATTTCTACTTGTTACAAAATTTATTGCTTTATATACAAATCATCAAAATTTTTAAAACTCACAATTAGCATAATACTTAATTTGTTTATTTAATACTTACATAGTCTTAGCGCAATGAATTTTAATTCCAGTGTACTTTGCATTCTTTATAAACATAATCTTAGTCAATTTTCTGAGAATAGACATTGTACTAGAGTGGGCAGGAGCAGAGGCAAGGCTTAGCTCCACTAAAGACAGTGAGCACGTGGTGGGGGAGACAACTGCCTCGAGAGACACTATGAGTAGCAGGCCCCCAGCTTCTCAGTACCCTCACTGGGGTCAGCTTTTCACTGGGCAGTTTCCATTCTTTCGGCCTTAAAGAAGCAAGTGCTGGCTGGGCGCGGTGGCTTACGCCTGTAATCTCAATGCTTTGGGAGGCTGAGGCAGGTGGATTACTTGAGGTCAGGAGTTCGAGACAAGCCTGGCCAGCATAGGGAAATCCCGTCTCTACTAAAAACACAAAAGTTAGCCAGGCATGTCGGCAGGCACTTGTAATCCCAGCTACAGAAGCTGAGGCAAGAGAATCACTGAACCAGGGAGGCAAAGGTTGCCGTGAGCCGAGATGGCGCCACTGCACTCCAGCCTGGGCAACAGAGGGAGGGTCTGTCTCAAAAGAAAAAAGAAAAAGAAGCAGGTACCTTAAGTGCTTGATTTTAGCCCCACCGCACTTTCTAGGAACTGATAAGTTACCTGAGGAGCCTGGCTAATGGCAAGGAAGGTGACAGAGCTAAATTGTCCTCAAAAAAGAGTGTCAGTCCCTGGCTTTCATGATGGAGTCCACTGGGAATGAACTTAGAAACCAAGGGTTATAAAAGCACCTTGATACCTGAGAAATGATCTACAGACCAGTCTTTCAAATTGGCAGGTATGAACTTCCTTGGAGGCCAGCAGAGAAACATGAAATTCCCAGCAAACTATTGAGGTAAACTATTGGAGCCTGTTTCTCACCTCTCCTTTCTTCTTTGTTGCTTGCCTTTTTGGTCCCCCTCTCTCTCTCACCAGGTATATTTACACCATAAACATCTTCATGATAAGTTTGCATGGAAGCAATCCTCTCCACAAAAGTAACCCAATAATACCCTCCCTCAGAAGACTGAGATCCTCCTGATTTCCACAGGAATCCTCACAAACTGCCACATGTTAACATTTACTGGGGGATTCTCAAATATAAAGTCATCATATCACACATTACATCTATAAGGTAAAAATTATGTGATAACCTTGAGAAATGTAATGGGAGAGAACAGTCAGAAGTGAACATAGTTTGAGAGACTCCCTTGGATTTGGCATTTGAGAATTATCTTCATTTGCCTCTTCTTTTTTTTAAGGGTATATTTTACTTTTTTTTTTCCAACTTGTATTTTAGATTTAGAGGGTACATATGCATGTTTGTTACGTAAGTATACCAAGAGATGCTGAGGTTTGGAATACGAATGATCCAATTACCCAGATACTGAGCGTAGTACCCAATAGTTAGTTTTTCAACCCATTTCCCTCTTCCCCCTTCCCCAGCAGTAGTCTCCAGTGTCTACTGTTGCCATTTTATGACTAGAAATACCCAGTGTTTAGCTCTCACTTATAAGTGAGAACATGTAGTATTTAGTTTTCTTCTCCTGCATTAATTTGCTTATGTTAATGGCCTCCAGCTGCATCCATGTTGCTGCAAAAGACATGTTTTCATTCTTTCTAAAGAATACTTTGCCTATTCTTAACTAACAGAGTATGGCTGTCATCAAAATGAGCCCTGTAAGTTACTATGCATCTCTACTTATATGCCAATAAATTTTTTTTAAATCAATGTGCTATCTTTACCTCATTTCTACAAAAAGCCCATTACTAAAGTAAAGCATCTGGACATTAATCATATTCCTCTATCTTTGTACCTCAGAAATACGAACTAACTCAATATACTGTAAGAGATGTCTTCTTCAAATGCTAATGAAACATGTACTTTGGTTGAAACAAAAATGTAGAAATAATTATGCTCTAATTTAATAATGGTCTCTGCTACTAAACAGCCAACAGATCCCCGACAAATGACTTTAGAAGTACAGAAATCGAAGATATAGTTTACACGCTATTACATAAACATTGAAAAGTCATATTGAGAATTATTTATAAACTGAATCCCAATGAAAATGATTCTTTCTTAACTTTAAAAAATGCAAATATAAGAGAACACAGAATTTTAGAAGTAAGGAAAGTTCATGCTCATCTAGCATAGTTCTTGCATTCATCTAGCATGTCCCTCAGTGCTAGGGACAGATTCTGTCCTAGAGAAATGCTTGATGACCATTTGCTGAAATAAAATGGAGATAATTGAAAACATAAAACTTTTAACTGAAGAAAGTGTATGTGACAGCCACATTCTAGTATTTTCTTCTTCAATAGAGCTTTAAATAAAAAATAATGTTTAGTCTTTTAAGGTTTATTTTACCACCTTCTGATTACACACTATCATGGAGATGGTAAATAATTAATTGGAAGTGTTAATCAATGTTAACAAAAGTTTGCCTCTCCTATAAATCAGTCAATTATGTTTGATTATGCAGATTTCTGATTGCTTCCTGCAGTACCATGAAATTCCCAGCAAATTGACATATGGAGCCAACATATCAGAAAATCAATAGAGAAGTATCTGTAATTGATACCTTGTCCTTAGAAATGCATCCTTGGTATACAAGGTGTTGAGCGCTGGGGAATTCTGGAAGAAGTGTTCCAGTTTTTGAGCTAAGCGAATATTTACGAGTGAAGCCACCCTATAATTTAGAAAAATGAAAACAAATACATCATTATCAACTATATGCTTCCAAAGTACTATTCTAGTAAAATACAAATCCATAAAATTTCATTCTTCTTCATCCTGCAAACCATGAGAATTTACGAGATTTGAGTAGACTGTTTAGATTGTGTAACTGAATAAACGAGACATGTCAGCCAAATGGTTTTCAAACCTTCAATAGTTTCATAGTTAGAATATTTTTCCTATCACTTCAAATTTTAGTTTTGAATATTTGTCAGTTTTCACAACTTTTAGAAATTTAAGTACACATTTGCTAATGGCATAAGTTTAGGAAGATCTGCCTTTGAAACTACTGAAATTATTTTAACTATAAGAGGATCAGGAATTGTCAAATCCAACCTTCCTTTTTACAAATTAAGTAAATGAGATGATTGAACGTAAAATAATTTATTCAGTCTCAGAGGTAATTACTAGCAAAATTTTTATTGGAGTCTAACTTCTGATTCTCAAGCTAGTGCACTGGACTCTCCCACAGTAAGTTTCTTCTACCCTAAATTCAGGCATGTGTTGTTCTTTCACATCTCTTGGAGAAAGCATACTTGAGCTATTTTCAGAAAATTAGAAAAGTGACAAATAACTTATAATGCTACTGTGCTGGTATACTTACAGGAAACCCACACAGGAAGAACAAACACATATTCATGACAGAACTGGAGCCTCAGCAAATCAGTCTCCCAGGCCATAACTGATTGTTCCTCCTCCCCAAACAAAATTTTAACAAACCAGATTGTAATCAAAAGTTTGGGGAAATAATGAAATTATGAATATAATAAAGGACATAAAGTGTCCCTGGCAAGGACAAAATTTTGTTCTTTCTCATAATTTTCTCACATTTATTTCTAGACTGCACTTCTTTGTTTATCTCTGTCATATTGAAGATGTTTAGTAGACAAAAACTTAATTACTGTCATAGACAGGTTGGGTTCCCATCCTGTCTTTCTAGAACTTATAAGGGTAGAGCCAAGGGAACTGGGAGTACTTTTGAGTCCTTTAACACCAGATATTTTAGAAGCCCTGATTTCTTGTTGACTTATTTAAGATTTAAATAAGCTGGAGGCAGAGCTTGCAGTGAGCCAAGATCGTGCCACTGCACTCCAGCCTGGGTGACAGAGCAAGACTCCGTCTCAAAAAAAAAAAAAAAAAAAAAAAAAAAAAGATTTAAATGAGCTTTATATTTAAAATATAGTAGAAATTCATTTTTAAAAATTATGTTTAATTTTTACTTTATTAATCTCTTTTCAAGTATATTCTTAATTTTTTAATTAATAACTATTATTTAATAATTATCATAAACTGATATAATAGCATAGTTAATCCCAATCCACTCTATTTATTAATCTATCTTAATTTAAGAAATGCTTCAAAGACTTTCAATGCTTGGCTTTTCCATTTATGAGCACCAATTATCATTGCACTGTCAAGGAATGTTACTGTCAATAAATAGGGAAAAATAATATAGGAAACAAGAAAATAAATAACTTAATCCTTAAAGGAAGGAAGTTATATGACAAAACAGAAAACTAACATTTGTTGGATAAGCATAACAAAAATTTACCTAAATCTTAATTTTAGAAAGGTTTGCACTTTTCATATATTTTTTCTCTTGTGTGGAAAGTCATGTTTATTCATCTCAATATGTGATTTGGTGATATAGGAAAAGAGAAACAGAGAAATATAAACTCCCAAAATGATAATACACAGTATGATATTAAATCGCAGTTAGGAATAAAGGAATACTCTTATTTCCACTAAAGAAATATAATTAGTAATCAAAAATCCTTTTACAAAGAAAAAAACAGACTCAAAAGATTTTAACAGGTGACCTTTTATCAAGCATTCAGGAAACAGACAATTTTAAGCTTACTAGATTTTTTTCTGACAATAGAAAAAAGGATAACTTCCCAATTCACTTGAAAACGTATATGTCAAAACTAGACAAGAACAGAAAAAGAAAAATTATATTTCAATTTCACTTATTACTAAAGACAGTATTAAACAAAATATTAAACAAAATTCAGTAGTATATAAGTACAATCATACTCAGGTTTAAATTCATCATATTAACAACAAACAGAGGAGAATGCTGTATATTATATAATCATCTCAACTGATGCAGGAAAAAGTTTGTTTAAAATCCACTACCATTCATTAGCCTCTCTCTCTCTCAATCCCTCTGTGTGTGTGTGTGTGTGTGTGTGTGTCTGTGTGTGTGTGTGTGTGTATGCTAGAAATAGAGGAAAACTTAATCATTATACAAAGAATATCTATCAGAAGCCCACAGCAAATGTCTTACTTAGTGGTAAAATACCCTTGAAAATCACAAACAAGGTAAATTTGCCTGCTCTCACCTTTTTTACTCAACACTATACCAGAGTTTGTAGCCAGAATAATAATGAACTCGAAAAAGTAATGACAGATTAAGTACCGAAAAGGAAGAGACAATATTAGCATTATTTGCTACTGATGTAATTGATTTCATTGAAAAACTAAAACAAATTACACAAAAATTATGGTTAACAATAAAGTTTTTTTTAGCAAAGTTGCTGAATACAAGATCAATTTAAAAGTCAATTGCAACAACATGGATGAAACTGGAAAATATTATGGCAAGTGAAATAAGCCAGGCACAGAAAGACAAATATCACGTGTTCTCACTCGTATATGGGAGATAAAAAATTTGATCACATGAACTTAGAGAATAGAATAGTGGTTACAAGATGCTAGAAAGTGTAGTGGGTAATGGAGGATAATGAGGAGTTGATTAATGGTAATTACTTTAAATGTAAATGAATCAATCTCTCCAATTGGAAGACAGATATTGGCAGAATGAAGTTAGACAAAATAGACTCTAAATTTTAAAAGGTGTGTAACAGACAAGGATATTATACATTAACAAAATTTTGATTAGGCAAAAAAGATCTAATAATCATAACCCTTTATGTACATGTACCTAATAACAGGTATGTACAGATAACAGATAATAACAGATAATCAAAATATATGAAGAAAAATTGACAAAATTAAAGGGAGAAATGAACAGTTTTACAATAATTGTTGGAGACTTTAACACCTCATTCTCAATAACGGACAGAACAAACAGACAGAAGTTAAGTAAGAGTATAGAGGATGTGACAGCATAATAAACCAACTATATTGAACAAACATATACAGAATAATCTACCCAACAACAACAGAATACACATTATTTTCAAGAGCACATGGGACATCTTCCAGGATAGACCATATGTTAGGCCACAAACTAAGTCTCAGTGAATTCGAAAAGATAGATGTCATACAATGTACCTTCTTCAACCAACATGGGATGAACTTGGAAATAAATAATAGCAGAAAACTGGAAAATTTACAAATTTGTAGTAGTTAACCAACACACTCAAAGAAAAGCCCCAGAGTTGGCTTCAGCAGTGAATTCTACCAAACATTTAAAGAGGAACTAATATCAATACATCTCAAAGTTTTCCAAGGAATTGAAGAGGAAGGAGTACTTTGTAACTTATTCTATGAGGCCAATATTGCCCTGATACCAAAGCCTGACAAAGACATTGCAAGGCAAGAAAACTGCAGACCAATATCCCTTATGAACTTTGATGCAAAAACTCTCCACAAAATATTAGTAAGCCAAATTCCACAGCATATTAACAGGATTACACACCATAAATAAGTGAGATTTATTTCTGGAATGCAAGGATGGTTCAATATATAAAAATCAATAAATGTGTTACATCACATTAATGGAATAAAAAAATGATAATCTCATTAGGTACAGAAAAAGTATTTGAAAAAATTCCATATCCTTTCATGATAACAATACTCAACAAACCAGCCATATAGGAAAACCACCTCAACATAATAAAAGTTGTTTATGAAAAACCTATAGAAAACATCATATGTAATGGTGAAAGACTGAAAGCTTTTCCTCAAAGATCAGGAACAAAGCAAGTCTGCTTTCATCACTTCTACTCAACATGGTACTAGAAGTCTTAGCTAGAGTAGTTAGGCAAAAAAAAAAAAACAAAAAAACACAAGGCATCCAAATTGAAAAGGAAGAAGTAGAAAATCTCTGTTCACAGATGATATAATCTTATATGTAGAAACCCCTAAAAATTACACACACACACACACACACACAACTCATAAATGGATTCAACAAAGTAGCAGGATTCAAAGTCAGCATGCAAAAACTAGTTGCATTTATATTCACTAATAATGAACAGCCTGAAAAGAAAATTAAGAAAACAATTTCATCTACAATAGCATCAAAAAGAATAAAATACTTAAAAACTAATTTAACCAAGGAAGTGAAAGACTTGTACAATACAAACTACATAAAAGAGCTGAAAGAAATTAAAGAATACATAAATAAATAAAAAGACATTCTATGTTCATGGATTAGAAGAATTAATATTTAAGATAGCAATACTGCCTAGAGTGAGATATAGATTCAATGATTCAATGCAATCCTAGTGACAGTTTTTTCAGAAAAAGAAAAATCCATCCTAAAAATATCTATGGAATCTCAAGGGACCCTGGGTAGCCAAAAATCTTGAAAAAGAAGAACAAAGTCAGAGAAGACTTCCTGATTTCAAACGTACTATAAAGTTACAGTAATCAAAACAATATGGTACTGTCATGAAGACAGACACATAAACCAATGGAATAGAACAGAGAGGCCAGTAACAAATCCTCACATATATGGTAAAATAATTTTTGATAGGGGTGCCAAAACCATTCTATGGGGAAAGGACAATTCTATGGGGAAAGGACAGTTCTATCAACAAAGTGTGCTCAGAAAACTGGATGTCCACATTCAAAGGAATAAAGTCAGACCTTTACCTCATACATCATATACAAAAATTAACCAAAAATGAATCAAATATCTAAATGTAGGAGCTAAAACTATAAAAATTTTAGAAGGAAACAGGAAACATGTTTAGAAGGAAACATGTGATTTGGAAAAAAAATTTTATATAGGACACTAAAACACAGGTAACAACAAAAATTACACAAATTGTACTTCATAAAAAAAATAGTTCTTCATGAACTATTTATAATCCCAGCACTTTGGGAGGCTGAGGTGGGTGGATCATGAGGTCAAGAGATTGAGAACATCCTGGCCAACATGGTGAAACTCTGTCTCTACTAAAAATACAAAAATTAGCTGGGCATGGTGGCACACGCCTGCAGTCCCAGCTCCTTGGGAGGCTGAGGCAGGAGAATGCTTGAACACGGGAGGCAGAGGTTGCAGTGAGCCGAGACTGCACCACTGCACTCCAGCCTGGTGACAGAGTGAGACTCCATCTCAAAAAAAAAAAAAAAGAAACACTTTTGTTCATAAAAGTTATGCATATAACTGTACATGACACTATGATCACAGTAGAAAGGCAATGTATGGAATGAGAGAAAATATTTGCAAATCATGTTTCATAAGGGATTAATATACAGAATATATTGAGAACTCCTAAAACTTAACAACATAAAAGTAAACAAAATGATTCATAATGGGCAAAGGACTTGATATACACTTCTCTAGAGAAGATATATGAATGACTAGTACATACATTAAAATATGCTCAATGTTACAATCATTAGGGAAATGCAAATCAAACCCTAAATGAGATACCACATCACACCCACTGGGATGGCTACTATAAACACAAAAACACACACAAACACACGCCAGCAAAAATAACAAGTGTTGTCAAGGATGTGAAAAAATTGGAATCCTTGTGCATTGTTGGTGAGAATGTAAAATAGTACAGCTGCTATGTAAAACAGTTTGGTAGTTCCCCCAAAAATTAAAAATAGAATTATTATATGACCCAGTAATTCCGCTTCTGGGTATATACCCAAAACAATTATAGCAGGATCTCAAAGAGATATTTGTACATCCACATTCATAGCAGCATTAGTCACTGTAGCTTAAACGTGGAAGCAACCCACTTGTCCATCGACAGATGAATGGATTAGCAAAATGTGGTACTGTATATACATACAATGAAATATCATTCATCCTTAAAAGGGAATGATGTTCTGACATATGCTACAACATGGATGAACCTTGAGGACATTATGGTAAGTGAAATAAGTCAGTCACCAGAAGACAAATACTGTATGGCTCTACTTAAAGAGGATTCTAGAGTAGTAAACATCATAGAGACAGAAAGTAGAATGGTAGTGGCCAGGGACATGGTAGAGGGAAGATGGGAGTTATTGTTCAATGAGTAGAGAGTTTCAGTCTTGCAAGATGAAAGAGTTCTGAAGGTGGATGGTGGTGATGGTTACACAATGATACCAATGTACTTAATACCACAAAACTGTACACTCAAAAATGGCTGAGATAGTATATTTTATATGTAGTTTACCACAATAAAAATATGAACAAAAACCAATTACAAATGAAATAAATGTTCAGAGCAACTTTATGCTTTCAAAGTAATTTATAGAGAATATTGTTATAATCTTGGAATATACACAAATTTTTAAAAAACAAGATATAAAAAGTACTAACCATAAAATAAAAATCTTCATCAAAAGATACAATAGAATATTGAGTCATGCCACTAACAGGAAGAAGTTATTTACAACACATAACTTACAGGATATTAGTATCCAGAACATATAAAGAACTCTTAAGATTAAAATTTCAAAATAAAAAACGATATGATCTGAACAAACATTTCACAGAAAAGAATCGACCAATAAAAATCCAAAAATATATTCTAGCTCATCAGTTGTTAAAAACAATTTCCAAATAAAAAACACAGACATGATTTTACACCCACAAGACTGGCAAAAACTAAAATGTCATTTAATACCAAGCATAAGAATAAGGTACAAAAGTAATGATCACACACAGCTGGAGAGACAGAAGTTGATACAACCACTCTGGAAAATAATTTCACCTTTACTAGTAAAGTTAAAGATGAGTATATCTTGGGACCTGGAATTCAACTCCTATAGATGTCTACCTGGAGAATTGTTTGCGTCAATATTGTTTTTCAGGCAAAAAAAAAATTCCCATCCACAATGGAATGAATAAACGCATTGGGATAGTTTCCTACAATGGAATATTATACAGCAGTACAAATAAATTAGAACTTCATATATCAGCATTAAAGAATCACAAAACCTAGCATTGAAGGAAAACAGAAAGTCACAGGGAAAACAAGGAGCCTATTTTTATGTAGGATACAACTGGGCAAATAATAAACAATATGTTGTTGAGAGATCTATTTGTAAGTGGCAAACTTTACAGAAAAACAAACAGTAACACCATATTCTGGAGAGTGGTAACTTCTGATGAGTAGGGAGGAAAAAGTGATTGAAGTGGGTGCACAGAGGACTCCTCTCTTTTAAGTTATGAGAAAGGGCTTGAGTTTTCATATTATGATTATTTTAAAAATTCTATGCATGTGTTTGTGTGTTTGGGTGGGTGCTGTGAATAACACATTTCCCAATAAAAAATGTTAGCATGCTAAAGAAACACATATTAAGAAATAAAGTATGTAACTTTAATTCTAATACTTTTAAAAACTCTCATATTGGTAAATAATAATTTTGTGTAATCAAAGCTAGCAATATGTGCAACATCAAGAAGGGGCAAAAGGGCCCCAAAAAACCTTAAAATTAATTTTGTTTTGGATGTTAACAACTGGATACAAAGATCATATAAATTGCATAAATCGAATAATATCCAGTAAGTGTAACACAAAAAGAGAGGAGTGATCATCTTTAAAATAGTAAAATATGCTCATTCTAATTCCACTAATATATTTGCTATTACAATCGTACTAAAAGAGGTGCCAGATCATAGGCCAGCTACAGAGGTCTGGGTTTGTTTTGTTTTTTCCTTTCTCAATTGATAACTTCGGTACTCTTGGGTGAACTATTAAGAATCGTATTTCTAAAAGAAAACAAGAAGGACCCTACAGAAAAGAAACAAATATGACTAGAAGGCAAGAGGGTCTGATTTATGAGGAAAGATTAAAGGACTTAAGCTGCATGGCTTGGCTAAGTGATGACAAAGGAGAGTATGATAACAGTCTACAAATATTTGAAAAGCATATACCAAGGAGGGAGGATTTGATATTTATCTTGGTACAAAGTTGTTCAACTGGCTGTGAACGGTTGATGTTAAGGAGAAGAAAACTCAGGCTATCAAGGAAACTTCCTGGTAGAAATGTATGAAATCAATGGACCCATTCCCTAAGAAATAATGTCAACTTCACTAGCTGCTTGAAACAAAAATTTGGCCCACATTAGAAGACCCACAGGAAAAGAAAAGCTTTCTTTGATGGGGAGAAAATATTATAATTAAGTTTTGTTCATTTGTTTTATTCCTGTGAATTAACAGATTCTGAGACAATCTCTAAGACATTTCTGAAATTTAAACCACTCCATTTATGAATAAAAATTTTAAAACAGTAACAATTATTAATACTAAGTAGTAACGCTCTTACCATCTTTTTCCTGTTTTTTATTTTGTTTTTGTTGTTTTTTGTTGTTGTTGTTTGCTTTTATATTTTGAACTATTTAAAACTTTTTAAAAGATATAGAGAAAAAATAATAAATACCCACTTACCATCCTGATTAAGACATGAGACATTTCCAATACTAAAGCAGCCTTGCCTAATTTCATTCCCTTCTTCTCCCACAAGAAATAGTGTTCTGGGCTTGGTTTAGATCATTTCTACTCAAACATTAAAAAATTTACCTAGTATGTAAATGTTCTTAATATTATACTGTTCTTTAAAACTGGTATAATACACTATGTATCCTTGTATTTTCAATGTGCTTTTTTCACTCAACTTTAGGTTTTTGAGATGACCCTAATTTGATTATTATAACTATCATTCATTCGCTCATACCCAAAGCAGTATAGCACTCCATTGTATAAATGTATAAAAACTTATTTCCCATTATATCATAATGAACACTTTGATTATTTTCGAGTATTCTGCAATTATAAACCATGTCGCAGTGAACATCCTCATACACACCTCCTTGTGCACAATGTGAAGGTTTCTTTAGGAATGCAGTCATAAAGTGTGTAAATCTTCAACTTCACTAGATATTGTCCCTTCTACTCTATTTGAGAGTTCCTTTGGTCCATATTCCTGTCAACAGTGTGTCTTTAGACATTTTAGTTATTGCTAATGTAATATATGTGAGACAATCACACATTAGGGTTTTAATTTTCATTTCCCTGATTAATATTTAGATTGAGCACTTTTTTATTGGCAAGGGGTGGTATTCAACATACGTTATGGACACTGGTCAACCAGAATGCCAACTAGCACTGTTAGTCATTCTTTGTTTATCCTGAATTAATTGCCTCTTCATATACTTTGCTATAATTCTGTTGGGTTGTCTTTTCATTATTGACTTGAATTCTATACATATTCTAGAACAGTGCTGTCCAATAGAGCTTTCTGTTATTATGGAAATGTTCTGTATCTTTCCTGTCCAATACAGTAAGCACTTGAAATGTAGCTAACGTGACTGAGCATTTTTTACTTTACTTAATTAATAGTCACATGTGGCTAGCAGCTACAATATTTTACAACATAGTAATAGATATTAATTCTCTGTCATACAGTGCCTCTCAATTTACAATGGGGTTACATCCCAATAAAACCATTACAATTGGAAAATATTGTAAGTCAAAAATGCGTTTAATATACCCAACTTACTGAACATTATAACTTAGCCTAGCCTACCTTAAACGTGCTTGGAACATTTACCTTAGGTTACAGTAGGGCAAAATCATCTAACACAAAGCTTATTTTATAATGAAGTGTTAAATAACTCATAATTTATTAAATACTGTATTGAAAGTGAGAAGTGGAATGGTTGTATGGGTACTCGAAGTACAGTTTCTACTGAATGCGCATCCCTTTCACACCATCACAAAGTCGAAAAATTGTAAGTCAAACCATTTTAAGCCAGGGACCAACTGTATATAATTTGTAAATACCCAGTTATGCTTTACATATTTCACATATATTTGCTTCTGTGTCCTTTTTTTATAATTAACATTTCTCTATATCATTAAAAGAGCCTTTTAATAAATAATATTCAGCCACACAAAAGTACAATAAATTATGTAACCATTTCTTTGATATTAGTCATTTAGGTTACATATAGTTTCTCACTGTAATCAATAAAAATTTTGTGCATAATTTTCTGTCTGCATTTTCTATTTTATTTCACTATGAAATTTACCTATTTTATTTTTATTTCTATTTTTATTTCATAGTGAAATAAAAATTTTTTTTAAATAAAAATAGATTTCACTATGAAATAAAAATAGATTCAAGGCCGGGCACGGTGGCTCACACCTGTCATCCCAACACTTTGGAAGGCTGAGGTAGGCAGATCACCTGAGGTCAGGAGTTCAAGACCAACCTGGCCAACATGACAAAACCCCGACTCTACTAAAAACACAAAAATTAGCCAGGTGTGGCGGCGCACGCCTGTAATCCCAGCTACTCGGGAAGCTGAGGCAGAAGAATCACTTGAACACTGGAGACGCAGGTTGCAATGAGCCATATCACGCCACTGCACTCCGACCTGGGTGACAGAGCAAGACTCCATCTCAAAAAAAAAGAAAAGATTCATACAAAATCCATACAAAAGTAGAATTAGCAGGAAAGGATATAAATACTTTAAAGACTTGGTGCAGATCTTCCAAACATTTTCCAAAAATTCATTCTGCCTTCAGCAAGATATGAAAGAGTTTATCTCATCCTACCTTCACCAACTTCCCAATAATTTTTAAATATTTCATAGTTTCATATTGTAAAATGTTATCTTAATTTTTGTTTATTTGGTACTCCTTTCTTCATGCGTTTATTAGCTTTTTCTTTCTACTGTGAATCATCTATTCGCATCTTCTACTACTTATTGTGGTCTTCATATTTTTATAGGATTTTTTATGTACTATGGATATAATTTTATTGTCATGTTTGCTGAAGATATTTCCCCCAGTTTTTCCTTTGACTTCAAATTTTGCATATGATGCTTTTGATATGAAGAAGTTTCCAATGTGTGTGTTTTTCTTTTTCCTATGAAATGTCTTAAACTGCTTTTATGCTTAGAAAGTGAATAACTCCTTCCAGAAGTGGGGTAGACATATATTTCCTCCTAAGTATTATTTTTATATTTAATTGTTTATATGAAATTCACATAAGTTGTGAGGTATAGAAATTTTTTTGCAAAATGGTCAATGTTTCTAACACCTCCTGAATAATTTTATTTATATAGTACTCCACCTTTCTCCAAAAAGGACACAGAAAAATATTTTCTTCCTTCATTTGTTGTAATTTCTGTTTGGTCATACACTAAAACCTTATAAATACTAGGGTCTTTTGTCAGGTACCTAAACTCTGCTGCAGATTTGTTCTATCTACAGTTGACTCAGTATCATGTCATAATATTTTGATATGTGGCAGACAAATCCCCTTTTTACTCTTCTTGTTTACATTTCTCTTAACTATTACTTCCTGTATATTCTTCTAGATTAAGCTCGTAACATATTCATCTCCAAAAATTAATTACCCACTCAAATTTTCATTATAATATAAAATGTCTGAATTAATTTAGGAAGAATTGGAATATTTATAATATCTAGCATTCCTATCCAGGCACATGGTATGTCATTTCACTTGTAGTTTTCTTTTATGCCTGTATTTTTTTTTTCCAAATAGGCAGTATGCTTCTCTTATTATAACTGTTCCTGAATATTTTGCATTTCTTCTGGCTCATGCCATTTAAATTTTACAATCTTCTAACTTTCTTGTCTTCCACAAAGACTGTTGCTACCATCTCAATAAATCTGTGAGAAAATTAAGTCCTACAGAAAATGATTTGAACAACCATTTTTCAATTCTCTCAAGGATGGTGCTTAATCAATACCATTCTAAACACTCATGCACGACAGAGTTTATTCCTTATATTCAGTGGATGTCTTAGGGCATTAGGGCTATATTCTCTCTAGAAAACCTGGTTGAGAATAGCTAGGACTTTCTTTTAAGTTCCTCAAACTCCTACTTTCTTTCCATGATTTTTGCCACAGCACATGACCTACACTACCATTCCTGAGAGAAATGCAAAACTACCAAACAGAAGCTACCTCAACTTTCTGCCACAAAAATCTACAAATCTGCTTGCATCCGAACTTACCCTTTCTCTTTTCAGTTTTAGTGGAAGAACTGCTCCTCCTCTCTAGGGCCAATTCCTCTACACTGACCTCCTCAGTGACCTTGTGCTCTCAACTTTCCTTTCTTTAATATTTTCAGTCTTCATTCTTTACTGTTCCTGTTTTATTAGCATTAGACATTAGTCTAATCATCCTTCAAAACTAAATTCCAAAAAATTAGCTGGGTGTGGTGGTGTGTGCCTGTAGTCCCAGCTACTTGGGAAGCTGAGGTGGGAGGATCACTTGAGCCCAGGAGGTTGAGGCTGCAGTGAGTCAAGATTGTGCCACTGCACACCAGCCTGGGTGACAGAGTGAGACCCTGTCTCAAAAACAAAAACAAAAAATCCCAAATCCCAAGTCCTTTCCAATTATCACCCTGAACTTGACTAAATGTTCTACATTCAATGCTACTTCCCACTCATTTCACAAACCAAACCCCAGCTCACCACTGGAAAGGCTCTCCCTGAAATCATTAGTTATCTCCACTTAACTAATTCCATGGATCCTTTCCACTCCTTATCTTGATGACTTTTCAGCACCATCTGAGCATTCCCTTCTGTAGGGAGCATTTTTTCATCCTGAATCCTGTGACACTGTATTCTCCTCCTTCTCTTCCTACCACTCTAGACTCTCCTCTGTTATCTCACCGACTCTTCCTCTCTCACTTTTCACAACTTTTTTTTGGTAACCTCTTGTCTTCTCATTCATTTTTTCCCTAAGCATTTTTATCCATTACCATGGCTTCAATCACCATCAAACTAAATCTTGAAGTCCTCCTTTCCAATCACATATATCCAACTTCCCACTTAAAATTTGTGTTAAATGTTTCACAAACACATCAAATATGACAAGTCCCAAATTAAACCCCTTATCTTTTTACTCTTTCTTCCTGCTTCTCCTTCAATATTTCCCAACTAAAATCAGTTACTTCTCTCCATCCCTTGGGCTATTATTCTGGTCCAGATCTTCTCTTACACAGACTATCCAGATAGCCTCCAATGGATCTACTGGCTTCCTGCCTTACACTCTTCTAATGTATTCTCCATGTCATGGTCAGAATGAGTTTTATAAAACACCAAGTCTGATGCATAATTCCCCTTTAGTGGCTTCCCATTACAGAATTCTTAACCTAATGAGACTACAAACAATCCAGCCTCTACCTATTATATTACTCTCTACCTCATTCTACACTATAGCTAAGCAGAATTTTTTTTATTTTTTCTACAACATGATACACCTCTTGCTTGCCTTCACATATGCCAGTAGTTGACATTTGGCAATGTCAGAGACGTTTTTGGTTGTCACGACAAGGGGGTGGGGGTCTGCTACTGGAATGTAATGGGTAGAGGCCAGAGATGCTGTGATACTACTAAGCATCCTACAATATACTTGATATCTTCCATAAACATTATTATCTGAACCACAATTTCCATAGTATGGAGGCTGAGAAACCCTGGCCTATGCTATTCCATCTGTCTTAACCACTCTTCTTCCCTCTTCCCCTACTCCACTCCTCCTCCAAACTACCACTATATTCTGAGTTATTTCCTTAATATCACTTCCTGTGTAAAATGTCCTTAACTCCCTAAACCTAGTTACTCCCATGACACCCTCTAGAATTTCTTATAATTACTTGTTCAAGATATGCTTTCCTGCTATACTGTAAAGCTCTGGAAGGGCAGGACCAAATCTCTTCATTCACCATTTTGTCTCCTAGTACCTGTAATGTAATACATCTGTTAATTAATATCTTGACCATGGCTTTAAAAAAATAGAATCTTTCTCTGACCTCTTAAAAAAGCAAATACATCTCTCAGCCTCATTGTTCTTAGCTGTAAATATGCTGACACCATACCTCACAGTTATGAATGTTCAAATGAACTGACGTATATGAAGATTTGCACTGAAAGTCATGTCTGAGCACACCAACGATGGTTGGTCGCCCTAAATACAATTTTTTTTTTTTGAGATAGGGTCTCACACTGTTGCCTAGGCTAGAATACAGTGGCACAATCATGGCTCACTGCAACCTCCGAGCCTCTAGGGCTCAAGTGATTCTGCTGCCTCAGCCTCCTTGAGTAGCTGGGATTACAGGCATACATCACCATGCCCAAATAATTTTTTGTATTTTTCAGCCTCCCAAAGAAAATAATTTTTAAAAATTTCAATTGTGTTATGAAAATATTTTATTATCATTTTAAACTTATTTAGAGTAGTTCTGAGCCTTTAGAAAGCTCTTAGTTGTGTTAATTTCTATAATCATCAAAGTAATGGTACACTATTATTGCCTTCAGGTATCCACAGAAAATGGTTAGGCTATAGAGCTTAATCAGAATATTTTAATTTTAGTAACAAAATCTACAACAGTATTTGCAGTGTCCTCTTCTAAGGAGGAAAAAGTAGACTTGAGAAATATTTTTCTTTTATTCCATGAAACAAGGCTTGCCATTTATCGGCAGAGGGCTTGCTAGTACCACCAGCCTCATCAAACTAGTAGAAAGAACACCTGAGAGAAATAACGTAAATTCCCTATTGACATAAACTTTACTCAACCAAAGTGTATCTCTAAGTCAATATTTTTGCAGTTTCACAATTGTTTATCTAATAAAGAGCTATTATTTCATTGATAAAAAGAGCAATCTGGAGGATTTATATTATGTAATTAGCCATTAACTGTATTAAAAGCACTGGTGGAAAGAAATTGGCCATTTAGTGGGTTGGGGGCCTTATATTATTTCTTAAAATATGCTTGCATCATTTCACCAAACTAATGGAGTTACACTTTACCTCAGGTCCAGATTTACTACACAACACATTGTCATGTGCCCTTAGCTTGGCAGCACCTCTTCTTAATGATTAGTTAACTTGAGAATAATGAAGGCCTTATCATGTGTCTAATTACCCATGCAGTCCCTAATGGTAGTCTAACTCATTTAGATAAAGTCTGTTCTTGAAGGAGGGGGTGGAGAGGAAGCCTAGGGAGAAAGATTGTATACGTGTGTGTGTGTGTGTGTGTGTGTGTGTGTGTACACAAAGTAGTAAAACAAACCATAGTGTAGCATAGCATTTGGGCTCCTTGATAACTAATAAATGTTTTGTCTAAATGGGTGCAGTCCAAAGACCAATTCTTTCCATATCCTCAGCTTAAGCTTTTTGTTTATATTTAAGTGGAAACTTTTTGGATAAATGATAGTGTTTTTTTTACAGTCTTGTAAGTATCTGATATTAGGTAAAGATAACTAAAAATGTATCTCTCCTAGGTTAACTGAAAGTTGTTTGGTAGATCCATGCAAAGATTCATTTGTTGTCCCAAATCTAATTGAGCTGTATCTGAAGTCCTTCGTCAAGGAATTCCTAATAAATAACATTTATTTCTACATTTGCCAAAGGGAATAATTAACATGTATTGCTCAGCTTGTAAGACATATTATAGCAGATGTAAAATAGAGATGAAAATAATTCTTACCTCATTCTTTAGCTTGCTTCCAGAAAACCTTAAAAAATTAGTACATTTTCCATTAGTTCAAACAAAATTACAGCTATAGCATTCAATGATATGTAGACAACCTAAAGAAGCAGTAATTTCATACCATGATTAGAGAAATAAGCTGGAGAAATTTGCTTTTTTTAAAGAAATCAAGCATCTTTCTCAACTTACTAAAACAAAATAAGTTCTTTAGAAAAAAAGTAAATGAATAATATTTTTAAAAGCCAGGTGAGATTTGAGACAAGTAAAGGACACTCACTATTAAACATTTGTGTGTGTTCCAGCCTATATTTACATTTTATAGTGGGGTGGTGGCTAGTAAGCAGCCTTATGTTCCTTGTAATATCTAAATTTATCTTAGTATGACTCAGTGACTAAACTTTTTTTTTCCACAAGATACTTTACTTTTAAAAATAATTTCTTCTTTTAAGAGCTAAGAGCAATTCTTGGTAAATCGTACCATAAAGCAATCTCAGATACACATCTAATTATTCAGAGTTTCAGTTTAAAAAATGAATGATGTGTTATCACTGGTTTCATTAGATGTAACCTCACTTACTAATATCCCCATGATAGTTAACAGTGGCTTAGAGCAATGTGCTGTTTATTTTCATTCATGTTTTACCTTTCATAGAAACCCAAACAGGTCAGTAATTTCACCCTCATAAGGTAAGAGGATGGTCAAAGTATATGTGATTAGAGATTATTACAATAAACTTTCTATCTTGGTAAGGTACTAGTCAAGCACATAGATCTTTAAAACAGGTTGTCTCAGAAAAAAGTTACATTTACATTTACTGCCTTTGTTTTATTGAATCCAACCTGAAAATAGACTTTGCTTTATTAGTAAATACTAATTTAAAAGCAATTCTGCTTCCTTGATTTCTCCTCTTCATCTCTCTGGAACACTAGTTCACAATTAATTTCTCACTAATTATGACAAGTTATATAATTTTCCCAGTAATCTAGATTATATAATCATCCATACAAAGCGGACATTAAGGTCTGATGCTTAAATGGAAACATCTTGATAAGCAAAATTAAGAAATCATTTTATTCAATAGGTATCATGCATATTTAAAGAAACACAGAGAATTTGTCTTGAAGATGGTGTAACTCTACCTTGTCAAGCCCTTTCCAGAATAAACGGAGTGGTAATATGCACTGCTCTCTTTGATGCCAATCCCATAGTAATGATACCTAGAGCAAAGACAGGAACCAGCTCTGTGTTAGTGAAGGAGATTTTTGGAGGGGAAAAAGAGACTAAGGTATAACTGACATAACCATGAATAAGAACTGCAAACCCTGATGACCTTTCTTTTCTGACATTTTTCAGGTAGGCAGCATCTTAATGTGCTATATTCCTCTTTGATAGTCACTACTCCTACTTATTGTTGTTATTTCTGACTCTAGGCTTGAAAAATGAGAATTACCTACTGACAATCCTCTTACATACCCTAAAACATTAGGTTCCAAATCCCAATAATGTATAAATGTAGGCTTTGGCTCTAAGTATATGTACTGTATGTATTTACAAATTGGGTGATTCAACATGAATTTAGTCAATTGGACAAGAAAATGCTATGGTTTTCTTTACCATATGTGTAGGGAAGACCAATCTCACACATGGGAATATGTATGAAACATGTGACCCTTTACACATTATTTTCCTCACGAGGAATCAAAAGTCCAATTCACTACTATTTTCACTTCAAAATTTCATGCAACAATGGGGAGAAGGCTATGTTGCAAATCAATGAAAATGACATGTGGAAAGTAACAGTGCTGTAGATAATTTGTTTTAAATATGCCAGTGGATCATGAGACACAATACAAGTATAGCAACTCACTGATTCTCAAATTATGGCTTATTCTCCTAAGTCACAAACTCTTGACATATTACACACCCATATACAAACACTACAAATATTATACACATGCTAGTGGAATAGTGGGCATTTAGTGAGGATAGTCAGAGTCCTCTAGCATCTGCTTTCTGTGGTCAGTCTCCACTCTCCACCATCCATCCCCCATAAAGCACCACTACCTACTGTTTACCAACTCCTTCAATTTGCATTCATCTAGGATCAGGAAAGAAATGTAAAAAAGAGAATGAGGGGATTTCCAGTGGACATCAGCCTAATTATATTTTAAAACGTTGTTTCCGAGCACCACCATCTGAGTTTAAAGTGGATCCTTTAAACTGAGGAGCCACCATCTGAATCCTCAGTTCATCCATCTGGTTGAATGGATGAATCTTCCGTTCATCCATCAAGGGCCCTATCTCTGGCCTCAGCAATAAAGAACTACTTGGCCAAGAAGTTCCACTCCTAAGCATTTTCAGGATCCAGGACGGGAGTACAAATGGAAGCCTACATACCATATGAATAGCTATTTGAAAACTATAAATCGAGCTAATGAACAGCTAACAAAAATATTCCTGTCCTCTTACATTGACAAGTTACCTCCATAATGGTCTAGTAGGTAAATATGAATTTAGCATTCTTAGACTCCTGGAGTTCCATATGGGAACATGGTGGTGGGGAAAGACCCACTTTCACCCCATTTTTCAGCTCTGGCTCCTTTGTTCACTGTGAGGGAACTGGACTGCACATCCAAGATCCAGCTGCATCTGCATCACCTACTAACAGCTACCCCCTGACCACACCTCAGTCTAGGGTTATGAACACTAGTGAAGCAATGTGGCCTTCTGAGGATGGACTTGGGACATGCCCAATATAGGCCCAAGAAGTGGGCCTGGGGAGTTGAACAGGGAATTCCAGGGCCCCAGGGACCCAGAAGTGGGATGTGGTTTTTGGATGGACACATTCACTCAGGCTATGGACTCCCTGCCTCATGGGAGGACAGCAGCTGGATGACAGCCAGAATGAGCCCCCCAAAGTGGGAGGCCCAGAAATGGCTTCTCTCTTCTCAGGTGCTAAGGGCAGGACTGTGGCAGCAAACTTGCCTCTACTGATTCAAGGTCATTTGAGATGAAGGAAAAAGGATTTTTAAACATCAAAACAACAACAGCAGCAACAAATATTATAACTAATGTTTTCAGAAAGAGTTGTCATATTTGGGAAACAATAATATATGGTGGTCAAGGTAAATGAAGATATTTTATGATTCTGGAAGACTGGGAAGATGTTTTCAAGTCCTCAATTTTGGTAAATGTACAATTATAGTCTGTTAACCTGAAAAAAGGACCATCATAACTGCTCATTTTTACAGTACAGAAAAAGAAATCCTATGGTAGATTAAAAAAAGAACCTCTAAGGTATAATGGAACAAAGGGAGAAATGAAGGAAATGGAAAACTTAATGGAAACTTCAAAATACTAAACTGAGTATGTCTCTAATTAGAAACGAAAAGAAAGAAGCTTACTTAAGTCATAAAGACTTTACCAAAGGAGCTATATTAATAGATATAGGTAAGAGAAATATTTAAAACTGTGAAAACATTAGCAGATTTAGATGATAGTCACATATATTAGTAGAATTAGTTAATAAGCCAGAGTCTGAAATAATTACTAATATTTCATTTGTTAGATTTTAGAACTAAGATACCAAAAGAAATGTTTACATATTAGAAGAAATAAATCAAATAATGTTTGAAAACAGAGATCCATTAGAATGGAAAGATGTTGTAATTTCATGTTCTTTTTGCAAAGCTTGCTGTTTGTTCTATAAGCTTTATAGTTTAAATACTACATTTTAGCCACTTGCTAAAGAAATACATGTTAAACGTTGGCTTAAAAATTGATAAACTTCTTTTATTATAACTTCAATTTTCTTGTTTCTCAACTCTAATCCTCTTTTCAGCGTGGTAAAATGGTTTGCCATGCAGATTGAGAACAAACTACACTGTCTTCACAGGTGGTACACAAAAATCACAAGACAAGTCAAAGGGATGGCCATTAGTTCAAAAAATATTAGAGCAGATACTGTGCCCTGACCACTGTGCTAGTTGTCAGTACAATGATGAACAAAACAGACATTGAAAATCTGATCAGGAATATCCATATTTCCAAATTCCTCCATAGTCTATGGCCTTCTGATGCCTGCTGTCATGGAAAAGTGACTACACTGACCAGCACTGAGGTACATTTTACTTGCAGTTTTTAAAACCATTTGATATTCACATTTTAAAAAAATTGCTACATTTTAAGACTAAATAAATCCTAACTAATACAGATGTGTAACTTTTTTCTTACGACTTTTAAGGATAGAATGTTTTATTATGCAATTTATTTGTTTCTTATTGTTATAAATGATTATATTATTTGGCCCCCTTATTCCTGTCCCCAGTCATTAGGACAGAATATCTTTACAAATAGAAATATTTAATGCCTCTACCTACATCCAAAATACAAAAGTAACTATTTTATATATACTCAAAAAACCGTGCTTTTTAATTAATGTATGTATTTTATGTATAAGTCAAATGTAAATAACACTATAAACCCATACACAAACTGACACCTGAAGAAAATGACTTGGTCAGCTACACTCAGCTCTACAAGAGAGAAATGGCATGTACTTTTCTTATTAGCAATGCCTTAGATTTTAGATATGTTGATGTAGCTGAGCATATTCTATCATACAATCTTATATACATGCCAGGAGATAGAGAACCAGTGAAAGAGTACACTCTTTTTTTTCCTACATGTATTCAGTGCTCACTGTGTGCCATGTGCTGAGGATTGAAAGAGAGGTAGAGGAGAGTCTCTGGAGGAGTTAACAGTCTTGTGAGGGAACAAATAATGCAAACAGAGAATTGTAATACCAAATTAATATTTGCTACCATTGAAGCAGGTGATAGTGAGTCATGATAGAAATAATTACCATTTTTGAGCATCTATTACATGCAAAGAATTGTATGTGTACATGATCTCAAATTTTCACAGCAGCCGGCAAGTAGAGCATTATCCCCATTCCAAAACAGACATTCAAAAATTATGTGATTTGTTTAAAAATGTTATGGGTTTGAAGGCAAAATTTAAACCCATGATTCCACAAACCATATTGCCTCCACACTCAAGATGCAAAAGATATCTCTCTTTTGTATTGCAATTTTATTTACAATTAGAAAGTTCTAGTGAAATACAGTTCAAATATGTCTGCATTCACACACACACACTTTATTCTTGTTTGGCAGGAGTAATGTAAGCATAGATAACTAACATGAATTATTAAGACCCACACCACTGATCTGGATGTTTCATATTTGACATTTCATGTATAAACTCGCAGAATGTAAGCTCCCTGTAATAGGAAATTAATAAACATTTATTAGATAAATGAATGAATAACTTGAAAAATTAAAAATAACAATGTGTCACAAAACCATAAAAACATTTGCCAATTAAGAGATTTCATATAATATCATATACTTAAACATATCACCACAATTTAAAATTTGGTAGAAATTAAAGAATCTCTTATCTAACATGATGTAAGGAAGTCTACTAACTCCTTTAACCCTATCACAGGTACTGTAGAAACTTGACTATTACTATCAGGATGACTTGCTCTTCATAAATAGCTTGCCATAGCCACGGTGGTACCTTTGGTTTTTTGAACTCTCCATTGGGAATACCCTTCTTCCATCAGGTCCTCATTTCTTAATCATAGTTTAAGGCATATTTTAACACATGAAGCTTTGCCTGATATCTCAGGCAAAACTCCTGAACTCCCTGAACTCCTCCCTTGGTCATTTACCCTATACAGCTCTGTCCTTGTATCATTGGCATTTGTATACATGGCTTACCTCCCATACTAAACCCTAAGATTTCGAGGATGAGAATTTTATCTTTCCCTTCACTGTATTCCTCATTAAAAATTAGTACGAAGAAAAATCCTCATACATTTACTGGTTAAATCAATGTGTTCTTCTAGGAATTTAGAAAACAATAAAACAAATTTTCTTAAAGCTGATAGTTTTCAATAACCACCTTCTGACATTGCATTTCCAGGTCATCAGTAAAACACTGAGATTGAACAAAAGTTGCATACGTAAACAATATATATAAAGGGCATGAAATTGGTGTACTTTGGTGGAAAGACTGTTGCTAGCAATACAAACCTCAGTATTTTGCAATGACCACTGTAATGCTTTAGCACATTTCATACCCAGTTTCTTCTGGAGCCAACAAAATAACCTTTCCCCTTTAATCTTCCTTTTAGTCTAACTAGGTACATGTTGTCATCTGA